>NC_000001.11:205002768-205154283 GCF_000001405.40 Homo sapiens | reverse complement strand
GATGGTGTGTGAGACTTAAAGCTTAGGGAGGAGTTTCATCATAGACCTAGCTGATGTTGTGTAAGGTTTTTTCCCCCTACACTGTTTTGAAAAATGTTAAACTTATGGAAGAGTGGTACAATGAAGACCCATATACCCTTCACCCAAACTCATATTCTTTTCTCCAAAATGTACGCTCTCTCTTTCTCTCTATACATGCACACACACACACACACACACACACACACGTGTGCATACTTTTTTACTGAGCTATATGAAATTAAGTTACAAGGCCAGGCACAGTGGCTTATGCCTGTAATCCGAGCACTTTGGGAGGCCAAGGTGGGTGAATCACCTGAGGTCAGGAGTTCGAGACCAGCCTGGCCAACATGGTAAAACCCTGTCTCTACCGAAAATACAAAAAAAAAAAAAAAAAAGTTAGCCAGGCGTGTGCATGCCTGTAGTCCCAGCTACTTAGGAGGCTGAGGCAGGAGAATCGCTTGAACCCTGGAGGCAGAGGTTGCAGTAAGCCAAGATCGCACCACTGCACCAGGCTGGAGCCTGGTGACAGAGTGAGACCCTGCCACACACACACACACAAAAAGTAAGTTACAGAAAACATTTTATTCCTAAGTATCTCCTAAGAAAAAGGACATTGTTCTACATAATCAAAGTGTCATTATCATACCCAAGAAATTTAACATTGATACAATACTATTATTTAATATGTAATCTATATTAACATTTTTCAGTTGTCCCAAATATGTTCAGTTGCCCTAAATATGGTATGTTTGTTTGTTTGATACAGGATCCAATCCAGGAAATATATAGTATATTTTGTTGTCATGTTTCTTTAGTCTCCTTTAATCTAGAATAGTCTTTCTGCCTTTGAGGAGTCTGAGCTTTGTTATTGCTTAAGGTTTGATCAGAGATGTAGGATGAAGGCTGAGATGGGTAAGTGTACCTTAAATGGTGAGATGGTCATGAACCCTCCAGTCCTGTAATTTGAATTGTAAAGAATCTTTCGACCTGCTCCTCTTGAAAGTATACTGGCATATCATTAAGTTGTTTCTGGCAATACTTAAATGATTTATAAAGATGACAGCAATTTAGGGGAAGGGAACGATCTCCCTAAAATTGACAGCTGAAACCTAAAAGGCTGATCAATAGCCAAATTAGACATACTTATTCTCTTCGACCTTTAGGAAAGGAAACTACAGGGACTTTAGGAAACTCTCCTTAGCTGACCGGAGGACCTCAACTTTCTGCCCTGGGGTCAGGAGGAGAGTCAGGCACTGAAGTGTTTCCCTGGTGTCCTTCCATGGACCTGTACTTCCTCATTCTTCCAGGGTTTTTTAGGATCTTCATATGTACCAGGCTAAGCACTGTGCTAAGCACTGGGGATGCAAAGATGAAAACAGCAATCCCTGCCCTCATGCTGCTCATAGTATGGGGAGGAAGACAGTACCGGTTGAGTATTCCTAATCCAAAAATTACAAATCCAAAATGCTCCAAAATCCAAAAGTTTCTGGGCACTGACATGACCCTCAAAGGGAATGCTCACTGGAGCATTTTGGATTTTTAATTAGAGGTGCTGAATCAGCAAATATAATAGATACATTCCAAAATCTGAAAAAAAAAAAATGAAATTCAAAACACTTCTGGTTCCAAGCCTTTCAGATAAGGGATACTCAACCTGTAATGGAAATGAACCTGGAGACAGGAAGGTTGGCGGCAGGATTTATGAAGTACAGTCATGCACTGCGCAATGACAGTTTGGTCAGTGAGACCACATATACGATGTAGTCCGATAAGATTATAATGGACTGGCCAGGCGCAGTGGCTTACGCCTGTAATCCCAGCACTTTGGGAGGCCGAGGCAGGTTGATCACCTGAGGTTGGGAGTTCGAGACCAACCTGACCAACGTGGAGAAACCCTGTCTATACTAAAAATACAAAATTAGCTGGGTGTGGTGGCGCATGCCTGTAATCCCAGCTGCTCGGGAGGCTGAGGCAGGAGAATCGCTTGAACCCGGGAGGCAGAGGTTGCGATGAGCCGAGATCATGCCATTGCACTCCAGCCTAGGCAACAAGAGCGAAACTCCTTCTCAAAAAACAAAAACAAACAAAAAAGATTATAATGGACTAAAAAATTCCTATTGTCTAGTGACATCATAGCTGTTGTAATGTTGCAGCACAGTGCAATACACATGTGATGCTCGTGTAAACCTACTGATATAAAAGTATAGCACAATTATGTACAGTATATAATATTTGATAATAAGCAGCTCTGTTACTGGTTTATATATTTACTGTACTATACTTTTTATCTTTTCATACCTTTTAGATACTCTAACAATAAAGAGTATAATATAGTAAATATATAAACCAGTAAGGACAACCTTGGGCAGGACCTTAGGACAAATTCCAGAAGAAGGTGTTGCTGTCATAGCTCCATGTGTATTATTGTCCCCGAAAACCTTCCAGTGGGACAGAATGTGGAGGTGGAAGACAGTGATATAGATGATCCTGACCCCATGCAGGCCTAGGCTAATATGTCTGTGTTTTAGTTCTTAACAAAAAAGTTTTAAAAGTTAAAAAAAAAAAAAAAGAAAGCCTATAACCAGCCTGGACAACAGAGAAAGACCCCAATCTCTACTAAAAATCAAAAAATTAGCCAGGCATGGTGGCATACAACTATAGTCTTAGCTGTCAGGAAGCCGAGGTGGGAAGAGCCTAGAAGTTCAAGGCTGCCTTGAGCTATGATTGTGCCACTGCACTCCAGCCTGGACGACAGAGCACAACCCTGTCTCTTTAAAACAACAACAACAACAACAAAAAGCCACTATTTTTGTACAGCTATACAATGTGTGTTGTAAGCTAAGTGTTTATTACAAAAGAGTCAAACAAAAAGCTTAAAAAATTAAAAAGTTTATAAAGTAAAACTACAGTAAGTAGAGGTTGATTTATTATTGAAGAAAAGCTTTTAAAAATAAATTTAGTGTAGCCTAAATATACAGTGTTTATAAAGCCTACAG
The DNA here is from genome assembly GCF_000001405.40 of Homo sapiens. Lineage (NCBI taxonomy): Eukaryota > Metazoa > Chordata > Mammalia > Primates > Hominidae > Homo > Homo sapiens. Next base: position 205,151,266 of record NC_000001.11, on the reverse strand, counting down.
TGGTGTACAGTAACGTCCTAGGCCTTCACATTCACTCACCACTCACTCACTGACTCACCCAGAGCAACTTCCACTTCTGCGAGCTCCATTCATTGTAAATGCCCTCTACAGGTATACCATTTTTTATCTTTTATACCATATTCTTACTGTACCTTTTCTATGTTTAAGTATGTTTAGATACACAAATACCATTGTGTTACAGTTGCCTATGGTATTCAGTACAGTAATACGCTGTACAGGTTTGTAGCCTAGTAGCAAAAGACCATACTAGGTGTGTAGCAGGTATACCATCTGGGTTGGTGTAAGCACAGTCTGGTGTTTGTACAAGGATGAAATCACCTGACAACTCATTTTCAGAGCATAATCCTATCCAGTGACACTACTTTGAGGTACCTACCTTTGAGCTTAGGTACGCAGCAGTGCTGTGTGCAGGATCAGAAACAAGGTGACTCTTGCCCTGCTTTGTTGGCAGCTGGATAAGCAGAACCGTGCCAAGATCACTGACTTAGGATTCTGCAAGCCAGAGGCCATGATGTCAGGCAGCATTGTGGGGACACCAATCCATATGGCCCCTGAACTTTTCACAGGTAAGGCTGGAGGGCAGGCAGTGGGTCTGGGCAGGGCGTACTACTTTAATCCTGAGTGCTACCCCTTGAGCTCGTTTCCACAATCACTACTGGCAGGTCTGGCACAGGCAAGGGAGAAACCAGATCAGGGGAGACCTACCTAAGGCAAGTAGCAGGGAAAGTGAAGAGGTAAAGGAGTAAGAAAGAAAAAGTACAAATGGGAATCACCATTTGGACATCTCTCTCGGTTATTAGTGCCATAACTGCCATAATCAGCCAATTATTTAATCATAAAGTATTGATTGAATAACTCCTGTGTGATAGGAGTTGTCCTCTATCATTAAAGAACTTACCGTTGACATAGAGATATATTAAGAGGTAAAATAGGAAGCAGTACAACACAACGTATGATTAAGTGCTAAATTAAGTGCTATATAATGTACTGTTGGTGTTTAGAGAAGGAATAAATGAAGGTGGAAATGTTTGGTGGTTTTGTGATGGAGGTGAGATTTTGAATAGAACTTGAGTCAGATTTGGGAAATTGGTAGGTGAGAAGGGAACTCATTTATTAAGTATATACCTTGACCTAAGCAGTATGGGTAGGTTTTTCACATATTTTGTTTAATTCTGTGACGATGATGTATTTTTATGTCCATTCAATGGATAAAATTGAGACCAGATTGATGAAGAAACCTACTCCCAAAACCATTGAGCTAAAAGGTAATGGAGCTATGATTTAAGACTAGGACTTTCTGTCTCCATAGTATAACCCTGTAGCATGAAGGAGAGAAAATTCTGGAGGCTAAAGAAGGGGAAATAATGAAGAAAATCACAGAATAGAAATAAGCATGACAGGAAAGAAATCCATTTGGGGAATAGTAGCAAACAAGGTTGGAGATAAAATACATTGAGTTTGAAATTCCCACAGAAGAATCAAGGCTTGTTGTGCAAGACTTAAGGAGCTACTGAGCTTTTGAGTAGGGGACAGAGGAAAATGTTGATAGAAGATGAGCTTTAGCAACAGTAGGTAAAGATGATTTGGGAAGAACCAAGGTAAGACTAGATAGCTGGTCTTCTATGGTTGCCTCCATGATTAAGCTGGTGTTAGTGCTAAAACAAACAAACGTGAGAAATTTGAGATTAATTCAGAGGAAGAATGAACAAAATTTTGGTGCTAACTTGATATGGTTAGTGAACAGAAAAGAATGACTAAAAGATGACTCCACGGTTTTGAGCCCAAGTGATGGGAATGATTGTTCCATTGCCAGCGAAGATAGAAAGGTAGTCCCTGGTCAGTCATTAGTATTGGTAAGAGTTAAAATTAGCAATATATTTAAATTTCTTTCATTTCATGTACGAGTCTTCCCCCAGCCCTTCACTGGGTGATACATGTAAGGATTAGGTGTTAGTGAGACAGCTGTAGTCGTACTCAACATCTGAACCAAGTAGATAGTCATCATTTTTCTTTCTCTTGATTTACTTAAAAAAAAAAAAACTTTCGGCCAGGTGCGGTGGCTCATGTCGTAATCCCAGCACTTTGGGAAGCCAAGGCAGGTGGATCGCCTGAGGTCAGGAGTTCAAGACTACCCTGACCAACATGGAGAAACCCCATCTCTACTAAAAATACAAAATAGGCCGGGCGTGGTGGCACATGCCTGTAATCCCAGCTACTCGGGAGGCTGAGGCAGGAGAATCGCTTGAACCCAGCAGGCAGAAGTTGTGGTGAGCCGAGATCATGCCACTGCACTCCAGCCTGGGCAATAAGAGTCAAACTCCATCTCAAAAAAAAAAAAAAAACACTTTCTAATTCCACTGCTGTTATTCTATTTTGGCTACTTCATACTTAAATTTCTTTTATTGTTTCTATTACAGTCCACCCTATTGCTGTTGGAATCATCTTTCTAAAATATTATATTCTTCATGTCACCTCCTACTCTAAAACATAAATGACTTCCTGCTTCTCACTGAATCCAGACTCTTCTACCTGACTTTAAAAATTATTATATTCTGGTTCCAACATACCTACCCACCTGTATTTCCAACTTTATTTCCCTAATATGACCTTTTGTGATTAATCTTTTTGACTGTCCTAGCAGAATGAAAGGCCTTATTTTCCTTCTCCTTTGTCAAGTTCTAGGCTTGGCTCTCTTAGTATTGAGCTGTGACCTCCCAATGTCTTAGTTGATTGTATTGTAAAATGGGCATTATAAATGTACCCTGCCTACCTGGCAGGGTTGTTATTGAGAGATAATAGTTGTTAAAAGCTTTGGAAAAAGCCAACCCTCTACTGAGGCAAGGTGGTGTAGATGCTGCTGCCTGACTCTCTGTGGCTCATTACGTTTCATCCTTTCTTGCCATCAGGGAAGTACGATAATTCCGTGGATGTCTACGCTTTTGGAATTCTTTTCTGGTATATCTGCTCAGGCTCTGTCAAGCTCCCTGAGGCATTTGAGAGGTGTGCTAGCAAAGACCATCTCTGGAACAATGTGCGGAGGGGTAAGAGCCACAAGTACTACCTTGTCCTAACTCCCCTGGCTAGCGCAGACTGAGCCCAGGCAATGTCACCGGGTCTCCTGTCATCCCATCTGGCCACTCCATAGCAGGGCCGTAGATACGTTTAAACTGTCATGAATCCAGAAAAGATATTTAAGTCAACCTTTGCTTCAAGTCAACTCTCTATTGAACTATCTCGAAAAGTCTTTTTTAAAAAATGTCCGATTCTTCAACTTCATATGCTAATGTGTTCCAGTTTTTCTTTTCTTTTTCTTTCTTTCTTTTTTTTTTTAATTGCTCTTACTGTTAGGTTCTAACCTAGATGTTTGCAATCGAAGTCAAAACTCCTTGCATTCTTAGTATTCTGAGCCCCACTGGGAAGTCAGCCTTTGAGCTGGTCATGCCTCTTTGTTGTGCTGGGTCCCTCTCACTGTGATCTTGTTTCCATGCTCCTTTCTCTAGGGGCTCGCCCAGAACGTCTTCCTGTGTTTGATGAGGAGTGCTGGCAGTTGATGGAAGCCTGTTGGGATGGCGACCCCTTGAAGAGGCCTCTCTTGGGCATTGTCCAGCCCATGCTCCAGGGCATCATGAATCGGCTCTGCAAGTCCAATTCTGAGCAGCCAAACAGAGGACTAGATGATTCTACTTGAAAGCAAAGACCTTTCTCTTTCACTCTCTAGTTATTTCCTTCCCCCTCACCTTTTGGCCATGGGGAGAATTTGACATTTATTCACTATAGGACACACTCCCAAGGGAACTGGTGCTTGCTGGGAAACTTGGAACCTTCCCAGGCAGGGATGACTCCTGGACAGTGAAGAGTTGAATGACTGAGCATATTCAGCAGCTCACTGAAGCGCCAAGCTATCCCTTTAGCAAAAAAGTGTCTCAGATGTGTAAAAGCTGAGGAATGTGGTGTTCTGGCTTCACAAATGAAAAGGAGGCAGATGTTACCATTGTCTTTTCACTGTATATACTTCTAAGACAGCAAGCGGGACACTGCAGTGGCAATAGTGTTAAAAAATCTCATTCTCATGATTTTTGGCTCTAGCTAGGAATAGTTTAGTCAGGACTCAGAAAATTTGAGCTTAGTTCTGGGATTATGAAAACATGGGGACAAAAACAATAACTTGTGGATGTCTGGTTCCTGCTGTCTGCAGCCAGGTATCTCAGGTTGCAATGGTCAGAAGTCCCAGTGAGGGAGCTAGAAACAGAGCTATCTGTTCCTCATAGTGCCAGTGTGTTTACATTTATAGGACCACATATCCCTGGTTTCTGGGGGAGGGTTTCACTGTTACATCACCAAGAGGCCCTGAAAAGAGGAAAAAAAAAAAAAAAGAGGCCAGGCATGGTGGCTCACGCCTGTAATCTCAGCACTTTGGGAGGCTGAGGCGGGCGGATCACAAGGTCCAGAGTTCAAGAGCAGCCTGGCCAACATGGTGAAACCCCGTCTCTACTAAAGATACAAAAAATTAGCCGGGCGTGGTGGTGCATGCCTGTAATCCAAGATACTCAGGAGGCTGAGGCAGGAGAATCGCTTGAACCTGGGAGGCGGAGGTTGCAGTGAGCCGAGATCATGCCATTGCACTCCAGCCTGGGCGACAGAGTGAGACTCTGTCTCAAAAAAAAAAAAAAAATAGAATGTGTATGCATATATTTGTGTGTATATGTATATATGTGTGTGTGTCTATATCTCTATCTATATAGACATACACACAGGAGTTATTGGATTTAGAGTTACTGCTAACCCCAGAACAGAATCTGTTCTTTTACCTTTGAGTCTTTTCTTTTGTTTACCTCTTTTCATCTCAAAGTGGGAAAGCTCCAGATAACATGGTACTTAGGAGTGAGTGTCTAAGCAAAACCAACCCAATGCGAAGTATTTGGGTGAGAACTGAGAGGTGGGAGATGATTGGAGGCCATGGCCTATGTACAAACATACTGGAAGAAAACCAGCTTGTTTTTAAAACTTAACACAATCAGAAATTTTTCTTTTTGTGTTTGAATCTAACACACTGACGTTTGGAAAACTTGATCAATGAGCTTTTAACCACGATTTCTCCCGCAATTTGTTCCTTCTTTTTACCTTTTTAAAAATCTGTTAGAAGAAAAAAAGCAGCAGACGAAAGAGAAAAACCCTCCTCTGGTAGTTCTGTGTGTGCCCCTCACCCCTGTGTGCTAGTGTCTGGGAAGTTTCCCTGAAAGGTGGGAGGCGGGTGGGTGGTCTTTTGGAGGGTTCCTCATGAAGTGTGCTTGAGGAAAGAAATTCTGATTCTAGGCAGAGGAAGGGGAACAATTTAAATATTGGTGCATCTCAGATGCACTTGACTTCAAGCCTTCCTCAACCAAACTGGTCCATTAGATTCCGAAAAACAGGTAGACGAGGAAGTAGACAGTGGAAGTGAGTAGTCTCCCTCCATCTGCCTAATCCCCAATAACTGTGGTCTGGCCCCTGTGTTCAGCCCGAGAGTTTGTAAAACAGGTCCCCAGGTAGGTGTATAAGATGAGTTGCAAATTAGCCGGGCATGCTGGCACGCACCAGTAATCCCAGCTACTTGGGAGGCTGAGGCAGGAGAATCACTTGAACCCGGGAGGCAGAGGTCATGGTGAGCCGAGATCACGCCACTGCACTCCAGCCTGGGCAACAGAGCGAGACTCTATCTCAAAAAAAAACAAAAAAAAAAACAAAAAACAAAGATGAGTCGCACATCTGCTGCTGGGATTTTCTAGGGTTGTCTATGACAGAATGACCATCTTTTAAATATTAATGGAGTATAAATGGAGTCTATAATGGGTCTTTCATATAACTTTTAACTCTTTGGCTATCCTGGGCTCTGATCATGATATGTTTGAGCATAGTAGCTCCCTAAACTCTTGGAGCCTTTCAGAAATTCCATGTAGTGCTAATAACCTTTTTACTTGCAAATGATAAAGTAACTGACTCAGTGTCTTTGGGCTCTGCAGGCTTTAGCCTTGTTTTGGTAGGATGTTCAGTATATTCTCAGAATTTTTACCACCTATTTAGCTATACTTCAAGTACTCTATTCTCTGCACTAACTTACTGTCCTTCTGGGAACTATGATGGGGCTTCAAGGGAGTCAGGTGTCAAGAAAGGAGGGGTAAGTACTCTCTACTTGCTGGAAAATCATTGTAAGTCTGTTGTGTATGAAATTTTAGGAAAAGTCTTATATAGTTCCCTTTCCAGACTGTTTTCTTTTGACTCTAACTATAATCATAAGTCTGTGCTTCCATTATGAAGGTCACATTCCTAGCATTCTTGGGAAGTATTAGCTCATACTCTCATTCACATATGGGAGGTTAGATTTTTTTCCTCTACCCAGAGTCCCTTTTTAGTTTACCCCACGGCTTAGTTTGCTGTCAGATACCAGTTCTCTAGCAGATTCCCCAACAGTTTTTTCCCCAGTGGGGAGGGTGGAAGGGAGGGACTGATATAAGTAAGGAGATGAGTAGTTGTGTTACAGTTCATTTTCTTTAAAAAAAAGTATTTTGAGAAAAGGTGCAAAATATTCTTGAAAGTCTCTAGGCCAGCCAAAGTCCACATATGGATATTTGGGGATGTTATTTAAATACTCAGCAGGCTGAGTGCAGGTATACGTGTGTATAGAGTGTGTATACTTTGCTTTTGTTTTATAACATTGTCAGCTAATTTTGGCTTTGTTCTTTGGCATCCATTCTTATTATAAGTGATGGAATGCCATGAAATGTACTGTATTGTATATTACTTGGGAGGACACTAGGTTTTCAAAGAAGTCTGGCAGCACTTGGGTTATAGAGGGCTCAGCATGACCAAAGTCCTAAAGATTTTACCTCCCAGCTTTGGTTGTATGTGTTCCCAAGTGGTGAGGTGAGATTGTGGCTGGAGGAAGAAAAAGGATGGCATGAAAGAATGACCCTTATTGTGGTCTGTCCTTCTAATCAACATAATTAGGGCAGCTTACCCCAACATGAAAATGATGACCTGGCCATTTTTAATGGCCAGAGCTTGAAGTCTGGTCTCTCATTTTGTTTCAGAAATGAGTGAGAGGCCTTCCTGCAGAGCAGTCAGGAGAAATGGTGGAGCCTGGGGCCCTGGAATGGCTGACCCTGTGCCTAGAGAGCTGATGGCAAGGGCTGTCTGGCATGGCTCATTTGGGTGGGGTTTCCCCAGGCATACCTTAGTTCCCTGATCCTCTGCAAAGAGTAGCTCATTGACTGAGCAAGCGCTTCAGGAGGACTGTGCTGGTTGTTCCCAGACCAAAGAGAGTCACTTTTGACTCCATCAACTTCAAGGGGACAGAGCCTAGGCAGCAGATTCTCCTAATTTTTAACACTAAAATTCAAGGAAGCAGTGGAGGAAAGAATGCATTACTACCACAGATAGAAATAGGGGACTCATAGAACTCTCGACTAGTACCTGTCAGCTCTCAAATGCATTCTTGTGTCTTTGCTTGAGCTGCCAAAGAAGGGTCACAAAGTGTTCTTCCTCATGGAAGAAGTGCCTCGGGGTTGCAGGGCTGCAAAGTGACAACTGCACTGAATGACACTTTATTTTTTGGCTTTGGCTTATTATTTAGCACTGGGAGGCCCAGGGGAATTGGTGATTACAGTAGCACTTTGGGAAGTTAAAGCCCCCTTTGGGCTTGCTTTGGAGAGATGATGGCATGCTTGGTATTCCATTTGGATAATCAGGAAGCCTCCCTAGTCCATCCATATTGTGTCAGAGTGGGATTAACAACCCTGGAAGAGTCCACTGCCAAAAGAGTAGTTGCTTTCCTGGAATTTCCAAAGCTTTTGGATTTTCTGGATCAAGTAACCCACTTTTTAAAACCTGAGGTCAGGAGTTCGAGACCAGCCTGGTAACATGGTGAAACCCCGTCTCTATTAAAAATAGAAAAAATTAGCCAGGCATGGTGGCGGGCACCTATAGTCCCAGCTACTCAGGAGGCTGAGGTAGGAGAATTGCTTGAACCCAGGAGACAGAGGCTGCATTGAGCCAAGATCACACCACTGCACTCCAGCCTGGGCAGCAGAGCAAGACTCCATCTCAAAAAAAAAAAAAAGAAAAAGAAAAAGAAGGTTAATCCTTCAGTTATGGAGGTGGGATGAATAGAGCTTGTTTGATGTTAAAGTGGGTAAGGAGGGAGTGGCCTTGAGACACTTGTATTCCAAACTCTCCTGGAGGTTTCCAGTAGCACTACTGTTCCTAAAAGGGTTTCATTTTTAACTTCATCTGTTTTGTTAACATCCAGTCCAATTGAGGTGATCTCAGAGGTGCATCAGGACATCTAGCACTGGGGAGGCCACCTTGCCCAGATAGTTGAAAAGAAAATTGGTCTGGGCAGCCTGTTGTCTTTTGTCTTCATGTAATGTTTTTTCTTTGTTTTAAAGGACTAATGTTTATTACAGTGTTAAATAAAAGTGTAAGATACTAAGTGTGTAGAATAAAAGTGCAATAACAAAAGACAATGACTTTGGCACACACTTCAGTCTTTATCCTCTCTCCTTTCTTGTGCTACCTGGCTCTTTCCATAATATTGTTACAGCAGGACCGTCTTAATTGTGTGCATTTTGAAGAGATGCGACTCTGGGTTAATCTTCATTAGTGTAATATTGAAGGGTTGGGTTTGGTTTTATAGAGTATTCTGTATACTTGTTGGGATACACAAATACCAGATGTGCTGTATAATAAAGATCACATTAACGTTTTAGGTTTCTATCTGTTTGGTTTTGGTTTTCCCTTACCTCACTACCCATAGTAACAGGACGTTCCCTAATCCATTCCATTTCCACTGGTGACCTTCAGTCAGATGTCTTTCAGTTTGCCTTAGGAGAGATGGATGGAACATGTTCCTCTCCCATCAGGGGCCCTCCCCAGCCACCATGGCTCTTGGCCTCTGGGTACTTTACATCATCACTACTGAAGGGTGGGGCAAGGGAATGGGAGATAGGATAGTGGAGAAAAGGGGTGAGATGATAGTCATGTATCTTCCAGAGCCTATCCTGGGTGACATGCTTTTTTCCAGCTTCTTTTAAGCACGAACCTGCAGCATTGTGAGTTCATATATGAGCCTAGCTACTCTATTATAATACATGGTGAGGGAACTGGGCACATAATCTTACGCTGGCCTATCTGCATGTAGTGTATTTTGCATTTTCTATTTAGGCTCACCCCAGTGCTGAGATTTGCTTGCTCAGCAGTGCCTGACAGGCACCACCATGGGCCACCGCCAAGAGACAGGCACCACTTCTAGTCACCAGGGAAGGTCAGCGTGCAGCACGAGGTGCGTTTGCTTTGGTTTGTTTTTTGTTATCATACCATGTCCGGCTTGTGTGGCTGTCATTTTTTGCTGTAAGTACTTTTGGTTTGACTGCAACACAAGGTTAGCCAGCAGATGGCAGCACATCTTAAATAGCTGGTGTAGTCCTGCTCCTTGAGGTTGATCTCGCTGGTTCTCAGCCTATACCGACACAGTATTCATTTAATGCAACTGAAGCCGGTTAGCTCAGTTAGTTAATGCTAATAATGCAGATAAGCCTTATTTTATTTTATTTTTTATTTTGGAGACAGTGTCTTGCTCTTGCTGTTGCCCCAGCTGGAGTGCAGTGGCACAAACATAGCTCACGGTAGCCTTGACCTCCTGGGCTCAAGCAATCTTCCTGCTTCAACCTCCTGAGTATCTGGACCACAGATGCATGCCATCGTGCCTGGCTGTTTTTGTTTGTTTAAGGACAGGGTCTGGCTATGTTGCCCAGGCTGGTCTCAAACTCCTGGGCTCAAGCAATACTGCCTCAGCCTCCCAAAGTGCTGGGATTATAAGTGTGAGCCATGCACCCAGCCCAGATAAGCCTCTTAACACTTGTGAAACTCTCTAGTAACTCCAGCCACACTTCATAGTTAAATATATCCCATCTTATATGCATATGCCCTGTATTTTCCTAGGAAGTTCAGTGTGACGGAGTTCTCTTAACCTCTTCCTTTGCCCTTATTACTTTGGAAAAAAATAGCTTGTGGTATACACATTTTCAGATTGGGTATGCTTTTTCAAGAACACATCCCTCAGTAGGTATGTGCCCTGAGTAGGGCAACTTGAGTGGCCTTCCTGATCCTTTATTTCGGTGGAGTTCAGGCTTCTGAACATTATTAAATTCAACCTCAAAATTTCTGTCTTTAGCAGAATCCCAAGGAGTCCATGAAGTGCTAACTGAATAACCTCCTTTGGAGTGCAGTTACTACGGGGAGACACACACTGATTGAGGCCTCTTGTGGCCCTTCTAGGGAGAGTCTATTCCTTGGTATATTTTATTTTCATTTTTATTTTTTTGAGATAGAGTCTCACTCTCCCAGGCTGTAGTGCAATGGTGTGATCTCAGCTCACTGCAACCTCCGCCTCCCAGGTTCAAGCTGTTCTCCTGCCTCAGCCTCCTGAGTAGCTGGGATTACAGGCACGCACCACCATGCCCAGCTAATTTTTGTATTTTTAGTAGAGACAGGGTTTCGCCACGTTGGCCAGGCTGGTCTCGAACTCCTGACCTCAGGTGATCTGGCCTCCCAAAGCGTTGGGATTACATGCATGAACCAGCACTCCTGGCCCCCTTGGTATATTTTGAAGTTAGCATTTCAAATCCATGAAAAAAATAGATTAGTCAGTAAAGTTGGCTATCCCCTTGTTTTAGTCTTTTCCTGCTACTATAACAAAATACCACAGACCAGGTAATTTATAAATAACAAATTTATTCCTCATAGTTTTGGGAGCTGGGAAGTTCATGATTGAGGTGCCAGCAGGGTCACTATCTGGTAAGAACTGCTCTGTGCTTCCAAGATGGCACCTTGTTGCTGCGTCCCTCAGGAGACTAACGCTGTCCTCACATGGCAGAAGAGATGGAAGAACTAGGCAGCCCTCTGAGCCTCTTTATAGTGCCATTAATCCTATCCGTGAGGGCTAAGCCCGCATGGCCTAATCACCTCCCAAAGGCCCCACCTCTTAATAGCTTGGGGTTTGAGTTCCAACATAGGAATTCTGGAGGGACACATGCATTCAAATCATATCACCACCTGAGGAAAAAAATACTTAAATCATCATGTGAAAAAAAAGTCCAGGTCTGGGAGAGATGTAAATGTAAAAACACAAAACAAAAAAACAAAACTGTAGGCTGGGCACAGTGGCTTGTCCGGGCACGGTGGCTCATGCCTGTAATCCTAGTACTTTCAGAGGCTGAGGTGGGCAGATCACCTGAGATCAGGAGTTTGAGACTAGCCTGGCCAATATGGTGTCTACTAAAAATACAAACATTAGCCAGGTGTGGTGGTGCATGCCTGTGACCCCAGCTACTGGGGAGGCTAAGGCAGGAGGAGAATCACTTGAACCTGGGAGGCAGAGGCTGCAGTGAGCTGATCATGCCACTGCACTCCAGCCTGAGCAACAGAGCAAGACTCCATCTCAAACAACAAAAAAAGAATATATATAACATAACCCATTTTTTGGTAAAAATCCCTTTGTTCCCCATAACCCCAAATTATCTAGAGATTTAGTCCATCTGGCCAGGAGCAGTGGCTCATGCCTGTAATCCCAGCACTTTGGGAGGCTGAGGCGGGTGGATCTCAAGGTCAGGAGATCAAGACCATCCTGGCTAACACAGTGAAACCCTGTCTCTACTAAAAATACAAAAAATTAGCCAGGCGTGGTGGCGGGTGCCTGTAGTCCCAGCTACTTGGGAGGCTGAGGCAGGAGAATGGTGTGAACCTGGGAGGCGGAGCTTGCAGTGAGCTGAGACTGCGCCACTGCACTCTAGCCTGGGTGACAGAGCAAGACTCCGTCTCAAAAAAAAGAGAGAGATTTAGCCCATCTGCATGTATAGTGCACAGAAAAAAAAATTTGTAAATGTATAAATCAAACTGATAATAGTGATTTTCCTAAAGAGGCAACTTCCAACTTTTAGAGTATGGAATTTCTGTTACTGTATTGTTTATCTGCTATGAACATCTAGAAAATGAATCCTGGCTAATTTAGGAGGAAGGAAATATGTATTGGAAAAATACTAGTGCCTCAAAAAATCAACAACTAGAACTGGAAGATCAGACTCACAGAATCAGTAGGCAGGACCGGTAGCAGGAACAGCCACAGACAAACCCCTCAGACACCGAGTTAAAGAAGGAAGGGGTTTATTCGGCCGGGAGCATCGGCAAGACTCCTGTCTCAAGAGCCGAGCTCCCCGAGTGAGCAATTCCTGTCCCTTTTAAGGGCTCACAACTCTAAGGGGGTCCACGTGAGAGGGTCGTGATCGATTGAGCAAGCAGGGGGTACGTGACTGGGGGCTGCATACACCGGTAATTAGAAAGGAACTGAACAGGACAGGATCTTCACAGTGCCTTTTTTATGCAAATAACCAATTAGGTCAGGGGTCGATCTTTAACTGCCAGGCCCAGGGTGTGGCGCCAGGCTGTCTGCTTGTGGATTTCATTTCTGCCTTTTAGTTTTTACTTCTTCTTTCTTTGGAGGCAGAAATTGGGCACAAGACAATATGAGGGGTGGTCTCCTCCCTTAGAACCAGAGCAGCTTTGCAAGCTTTTGCAAAGGCCTGTCTAAGGCTATGATGAACCATCTTTACTCCCTCATGAGTTAGCAGCCAGGGCGCGTTTTCTCGACTGGCCCAGCATAGGTCCCAGGCCCATCTTCTAGCTTTACTGGTTCAGAACTGGAAGGATCTGTCCCCTTCAGATTCCATGATGGGAGGCAGGCACCTAAATTTGCCTGCTCACTAAAAATTACATTCATTGGAGGAGATATAACTCCTGAAAAGTAATCAAGCAGCAGTTAGAAAAGGGACCTAAATTCAGGACAGGTGCCAGGTGACACATGGTCGCTACAGTTCACCTCTTGGGCTCCTTGACCTCCACAGCCACCCTTCTGGCACTACTGGGAGGCAAGGTCGTGAAAGAAGATTGACAGATTGGGGCCTGACACAGAGAGGCCACAACTTGGTCTCTGGGAAGGACATTTCTAAATCTCTGGAGTATTTTTCAACCTATGAAGACTGCCTTGGCTTCTATTTCCTCTCTCTTTCCTTCGTCCCTTATTTTCTCAGCATGGCTTCCCCATGAATCACAAAGACCCTCAAGCATCTAGGTAAAGGCTAACTCAGAGCCTTTCTATGTGTGGAAGCAGGAGTTTAAGAGGCAAATGTCAGGCTCAATGTGAAGCCACTGGCTCTGAAAATAAGGGGAACTGCTCCAGGTTCTAAGCTGGGACCATAGAGAAACACGATGGTTAGTCTAAGACATTTTACTGAGCAGGATTTGCTTACAATTTTTAAAAATTATAGATACTGGCAAAGGAGTAGATGTAACATCCTCATATATTTTGATGCGGCCGGGTGTGATGGCTCATGCCTGTAATCCCAGCACTTTGGGAGGCCGAGGCGGGCAGATCATCTGAGGTCAGGAGTTCGAGACCAGCCTGGCCAACATGGCCAAACCCCATCTCTACTAAAAATACAAAAATTAGATGAGTGTGGTGGCGGGTGCCTGTAATCCCAGCTACTCAGGAGAATGAGGCAGGGAGAATTAATTTAACCCAGGAGGCAGAGGTTGCAGTGAGCTGACATTGCACCACTGCACTCCAGCCTGGGCAATAGGGTGAGACTCTGTCTTCAAAAAAAAAAAAATTGATGCAGAAGAACAATTTTTTTTTTTTTCTGGAGACGAAATCTCACTGTCGCCCAGGCTGGAGTGCAATGGTGCCATCTCGGCTCACTGCAACCTCCATCTTCCAGGTTCAAGTGATTCTCATGCCTCAGCCTCCCGAGTAGCTGGGATTACAGGCATGCACCACCATGCCTGGCTAACTTTTGTATTTTTAGTAGAGATGGGGTTTTGCCATGTTGGCCAGGCTGGTCTCAAACTCCTGACCTCAGGTGATCCACCTGCCTTGGCCTCCCAAAGTGCTGAGATTACAGACATGAGCCACCATGCCCGGCCAAGAACAATTTTTAAAATGTGAATTTACTGTGCAATTTGTGGGCCAGAACACTGCCATGGTTTGGAAGCCCCTGTGTGATTTTCCCATATGCCAGTTCCGGCACCTCCCTGCCTTTCTCCCATCCGTAGGTTACTACTGTGTTGATCATTCTCTTTTTTTTTTCTTTTTTATTTGAGATGGATTCTTGCTTTGTCATCCAGGCTGGAGTGCAGTGGCATGATCTCGGCTCACTGCAACCTCTGCTTCCTGGGTTCAAGCAATTCTCCTGCCTCAGCCTCCTGAGTAGCTGGGATTACAGGTGCACACTACCTTGCCCAGCTAATTTTTGTATTGTTAGTAGAGACGAGGTTTCACCATGTTGGCCAGGCTGGTCTTGAACTCTTGACCTCGTGATCCACCCGCCTCGGCTTCCCAAAGTGCTGGGATTACATGTGTGAGCCACCACGTCTGGCCCATTCTCTTGTTTTTTTTTTTTAAGAAAAGTATTTCCAAATGTATGTGTAGCTCTAAACAATATATACGTTGGTTTTGCCTGTGTTTGTGCTTTATAAAAATGATATTATTTAGCCAGGCATTGTATGGTGTGTGCCTGTAGTCCTAGCTACGTGGGAGGCTGAAGTGGGAGGACTGACTGAGCCCAGGAGGTTGAGGTGAGTTTTACAGAGGTATGTTTTTAAATTTGCAAGTGTGGTCAGGCATGGTGGGTCACACCTGTAATCTCAGCACTTTGGCAGGCCAAGGTGGTAGGATCATTTGAGCTCAGAAGTACAAGACCAGCCTGGGTAAAATAGTGAGACCTGTCTCTACAAAAAATTTTAAAAATTTGCCAGCCAGGTGTGGTGGCTCACGTCTATAATCCCAGCACTTTGGGAGGCTGAGATGGGCAGATCACTTGAGGTCAGGAGTTCGAGACCAGCGTGGCCAACATGGTGAAACTCCGTCTCTACTAAAAATACAAAAATTAGCTGGGCGTGGTGGCAGGCGCCTGTAATCCCAGCTACTCAGGAGGCTATCAGTTTTAATTGAAAATATTAAACAGTTTACTCATAGTGAATTATAAAACTTTGATAGTTAATGGCTAGGCACAGTGGCTCATCCCTGTAATCCCAGCACTTTGGGAGGCTGAGGTGGGTGGATCCCTTGAGCCCAGGAGTTCAACACCAGCCTGGGCAACATGGTGAAACCCTGTATCTACTAAAAATACAAAACCTGTGGTCCCAGCTACAGGGAGGGAGGCTGAGGTGGGAGGATCGCTTGAGCCTGGGAGGTCGAGGCTACATGAGCCAAGATCTTGCCACTGCGCTACAGCCTGGGCAACAGAGCCAGACCCTGTCTCACACACACACATGCACACACTTCGATAGTTAAATTGTATTATAATTTGTAAGCCAACTATTCTTCATTATGAAAACTTTATAAAAACCTGAAAAAATGTTGCATACTTGTATTTTCTATTCTCCATTTCAGAGCAAGATAATAAAGAGAGGCTCTAAAATATTTATAAATCAAAACCCAATGGGATTAAAAATGAAATATAGAAAACCAGATCTACATACAGCTGTGCCAGAAAGCATTCGTGGCTTTTTTTTTTTTTTTTTTAGACAGAGTCTCTGTGGTCCAGGCTGGAGTGCAGTGGTATGATCTTGGCTCACTGCAACCTCTGCCTCCCAGGTTCAAGCAATTTTCCCATCTCAGCCTCTCTAGTAGCTGGGATTACAGGCACCCACCATCATGCCTGGCTAAACTTTTTTGTATTTTTGTAGAGATGGCGGGGGTGGGGGGGGGTCTCACCATGTTGGCAAGGCTGGTCTCAAACTCCTGGCCTCAGGTGATCCAGAGTGCTGGGATTAGAGGCATGAGCCACCATGCCTGGATGTATGAAGTGTTTTTTTTGGGGGGGGTTGGGGGGCACGGAGTCTCTCTCTGCCATCCAGGCTGGAGTGCAGTGGCACGATCTCAGCTCACTGCAACCTCTGCCTCCCAGGTTAAAGTGATTCTCCTGTCTCAGCCTCCCGAGTAGCTGGGACCATAAGCGTGTGTCACCACACCCAGCTAATTTTTTGTATTCTTAGTAGAGATGGGATTTCACCGTGTTAGCCAGGATGGTCGCGATCTCCTGACCTTTTGAACCGTCCGCCTTGGCCTCCTGAAGTGCTGGGATTACAGGTGTGAGCCACCGGGCCCAGCCTGCATGAGTGGCTTTTATCTGATGTTTTGGATCCATTTCACATGAAACAAAAACAGGTGTTATAGCAAAGCCAAACCAGGAAAACCCCAATAGAGTATTTTTAGCATGCCTCTTAATTTTTCTATCCCCAGCTTCTTGTTGGTTGTCTGTGATGAGTCTTGGACAAGTAACCTCTTGAGGGGATGCCACTGATGGATGGGCCACGGGTGAAGTGTCAGCAAATGTGAAAAAGCAAATCCAGCTATAACTATATAGACAGTTCATCTGCAATGTTCAGCCACATAACCGTAGATAAATCCAATGACTGAAGAAAAAATAATAATTCTCTGAAACATTTGTTCAACTAGCTTTTGTCCCTTGTAATCTATTCGTATGGGCAGCAAGCTCATATGCTCCAACATGACTGGCCATGGAGGCAGGTGGTGGAGCGCAGGCAGTGGGCAGCATGGTGAGGGTGGCTGCAACTCAGATCTGGGTCTGGGTCTGGGCCTTATACCACCACGCTTGGCTTTTGTTTTTTTTTTTTTTTTGAGTGGAGTTTTGCTCTTTTTGCCCAGGCTGGAGTGCAATGGTGCCATCTCGGCTCACTGCAACCTCTGCCTCCCAGATTCAAGTCATTCTTCTGCCTCAGCCTCCCGAGTAGCTGGGATTACAGGCACACACCACCACACCTGGCCTAATTTTTGTATTTTTAGTAGAGACAGGGTTTCACTATGTTGGCGAGGCTGGTGTCGAACTCCTGGCCTCAAGTGATCCGCCTGCCTAAGCCTCCCAAAGTGCTGGATTACAGGTGTGAGCCACTGCGCCAGGCCCTGTCTTGTCTTTTAAATAACATCTCCAAAGTGGCGATAGAAAAGAAATACCAACCTGTAAGTATATGCTTAGCTGATGTATACTCCAAGAATGAGGATAAAAATTAAAACATTTTTTAAAAATCAAAAGTTGAAATAATTTACAAACTGATTTTCATTAATACTCATGTAAAAGATGTATTTTAGGAAAAAGGAAACCATGAACCTAGAGAGGCCTGACATGCAGGAATGAATGGTAAGCGAAGAAAACAGTAAATGGATGGCTAAATCTAAACACACATTGGTTATATATTAAAAAAAATGTATAATGATATCAGGTCGGGCATGTAATGGGCCTGTAATCCCAGCACTTTGAGAGGCTGTGGCGGGAGGATCCCTTGAGGTCAGGAGTTCGAGACCAGCCTGACCAACATGGTGAAAACCTGTCTTTACTAAAAATACAAAAAAAATACAAAAACATTAGCCAAGCATGGAGGCGCATGCCTGTAATCTCAGCTACTCAGGGAGGCTGAGGCACGAGAATCACTTGAACTCAGGAGGCAGAGGCTGCAGTGAGCCAAGATTGTGCCACTGTACTCCAGCCTGGGCAACAGAGTGAAACTCTGTCTCGAGAAAACAAACAAACAAACAAACAAATAAATACATAAATAAAGCAATATGTATAATGATATCTAACTTCTGAGGCAAAAGAATCTCAGCCAAGAGGTTTTTCTTCCTTTTTTTAGAGATGGGGTTCTGCTCTGTTGACCAAAGCTGAGTGCAGTGGCATGATCATACCTCACTGCAGCCTTGAACTCTGGGGCTCAAATGAGGGGGTGAACTTTTGAAATATTGTAAGATCCCTATATTTTCAGAGAAGGATAAAGATACTGATTACCTTCAGATAAAACCACCTTTCCAAAATTATGACTGTAAGAAAAATCTGATATAGTTGACTCCATCTTGCTTTTAACATCCAAGCTGTCCTTGGTCATTCCAAGCCAACTTTGGGAGAAAGTTAGTTTATAGTTTAATCTTAAAGCAAGAATAATAATAGCCCTTCCCAGAACTAAACTGCCTTTGTAAAACTGATAAAAGCCCACAAGGTTAGAATAATGAGAGGGCTCTGGATTCTGCCAAGATTTAGGCATAATTAGCTGGGCACGGTGGCTCATGCCTGTAATCCCAGCACTTTGGGAGGCCAAGGTGGGCAGATCATGAGGTCAGGGGTTCGAGACCAGCCTGGCCAACATAGTGAAACCCTGTCTCTACTAAAAATACAAAATATTAGCCGAGCGTGATGGTGGGTGCCTGTAATCCCAGCTACTCGGGAGGCTGAGGCTGGAGAATCGCTTGAACCCGGGAGGCAGAGGTTGCAGTGAGCTGAGGTCGTGCTACTGCACTCTAGCCCAGGCAATAGTGCGAGATGCTGTCTCAAAAAATAAATAAATAAAAATAATAAACTCCCTTCTTTCCCAGTCTGTCTGCATCTTGTTATTGGACTGCGAGAACAAGCAGCCAGACTCCATTCTTTCTGGAACACTAGAGCACAGCAGGTCCCTCATGCCCTTGCTCTCTGTCCTAGTCCCTCAAGAAGACCTCAGGCAAGATGTAGACTGAGAAGCAGATGGATCAGGTGGATACAGCAGGGAGGACGCTGTCTGTGAACCAGAAGTTAGGCCCACACCAGACACTGAATCCATCAACACCTTGATCCTGGACTTCCAGACTCCAGAACTGTGAGAGATAATTTCCGTTGTTTAACTCAGCCACTCTATGGTATTGTGTTGTGGCAGTGGAGCTGACTTAAGACAGGGCCCGTTTCCCCACGGCCTGGACCCCCACTTACCCTTCTTGGTGCAGATGACACGGCAGCACTTGGGAGGCATGCCGGCCAGAGGTTGCTGCCTTGGGCTGTCTCCACTTCACCTAGGGGGTCAGGGATCTGAGGACCTGCCCAGGAAAGGGAGAAAGGGTAAGAATGAGAACGAGTCAGCCTGGGGTTCTAAACTGAGATGTCTGAGCCACCCTCCTACACTCATCAACAGCCCTTTACTCTCATTGACCCTAAATACCAACTCCCCTTTTGCCTAAGAGACCTGAGGGAGGGGCGCTTACCCTCACCATCTGCAGCCTAAGCGCTGTGTTCCCTGGGATAGGCTCACCAGTCTGTAGGGTGGGAGAGGACTTTTATAGGATAGAAGCTGGAATAAATGACTGGCTGGATTGGGGTTTCAGAAAGGTCATCTCCTACCTCAGTAGGATGTAAAACTGTGGTCCACAGGACCTCATATCCCAGTCTTTGTTGTTGTTTAGAGACTCAATATGTTAATGAGTTGAATTACAAAGTTAATACACTTGTAGTAATTTAACAGTAGAGAAATGTCTAAAGTTGGCCGGGCGCAGTGGCTCATGCCTATAATCCCAGCACTTTGGGAGGCCAAGGCAGGTGGATCACCTGAGGTCAGGAGTTTGAGACCAGCCTGGACAACATGGTGAAACCCCTCTCTACTAAAAATACAAAAATTAGCTGGGCGAGGTGGCTCATGCCTATAATTCCAGCTACTCAGGAGGCTGAGGCAGGAGAATTGCTTGAACCCAGGAGGTGGAGGTTGCAGTGAGCCAAGATCGTGTCATTGCACTCCAGCCTGGGCAACAGAGCGAGACTCTGTCTCAAAATAATAATAATAATAATAATAATAATAATAATAATAATAATACCAGAACTAAAAAGTTGTTGTGCCTCCCATATTGCCCCTTAAGGACCAAACTGTCAGGAATGTCTCCCAGCTGGAAAGGGTGTTGGATGCTGATAGCTCACAGCCAAGTTCCTCTCCACAGATTTTGCCTTCAGCAGATACGAGTTGGCTCTCACAAGGTGTTGCCTCCTTGCCAAAACCAGTCAATGTCCAATGGCTGGTCATTCAAGGCTATAATGGCCTGGCCCTCTGACCTTAATTTGGTATGACTCGGAAGGAGCATTCCTCCTCTGGTGCTTATTGTGGGGTTGTCTGAGGCCTCTGCTGTGGGGCAAGTGAGGCACTTGTTTGGCGTGCAAAATTTAAGGGGGCACTCCAAAACTCAATACTTTTAAAAGTCAGAATTAATGCCAAAAAGAAGCCATGATGAAAAAAAAATTTTAAATAAAGATAGGACCTGTCTGCATTTCATTTTCCTCTGCCTTCCCTGATCGGCTTTTGATCTGTCTTGATTAACTGGATTGGTGAGCTGAACTCAGTGTGCAAGTTTGGATCGCAATTAATATAAGCTAACACGTGGCTTTGAATGTGCTAGGTATTTTGTCTTTATCACTTATAAAATGTACAGTGAATTAGTTTCAAGGTTGTGTACTGTTTTTAGATAATAACATAAAGTAATAAAAAAAAGCCTAGGATGAGAATTATAGTTCATAAATTGTTCCTGTGGTTGTTTATTGATCAACAATTATTTATTGAGGATGTATAGTGTGCCAACCACTAATCTAGACACTTGGAAACAAAACAGAGTAGGCTGCTTGCCTTCAAGAAGCTTATGTTCAAAGAATTGATTAGGCATTCCCTTAAGATATTAATGAACTGGAGAGAAACTCACTATATTCCAATTTTCCTTTCCTTCTAGCTAATAGTCTTTTGTTTCCTAGCTCCAGAAAGTTTAGTGTATCCTGGTGCTAAAGATAAATTAAGGTCAGGCACAGTGGCTCATGCCTGTAATCCTAGCACTCTGGAAGGCTGAGGTGGGCAGATTGCTTGAGTCCAGGAGTTTGAGACTAGCCTAGGCAGCATGGTGAAACCCTGTCTCTACAAAAGATACAAAAATTAGCCAGGCATGGTGGCACATGCCTGTAGTCTCAGCTACTTGGGAGGCTGAGGTGGGAGGATCACCAGAGCCCAGGAGGTAGAGGCTGTAGTGAGCCGTGATTGCACCACTGCACTCCAGCCTGGGTGACAGAGTAAGACACTGTCTCAGAAAAAAAAAAAAAAAAAAGGGATAAATTAAGTGCTTAATAAAGTGCTTCTAAGAATTTTCTTTCTTTTTCCCCTGACACTGGCCTTTTATCTTCTATCTATCAAAGTGTAAGACTGTCCATGTGGCTGCAAAATCCTCTACAAATAAAAGTATACCCCATGAGTACACACATGAGATCACTTTTTCAGTTCTATTGTTCATACAGGCACAAGCAAGAAAAAATTTGAGAGAGAAGAGTATCATGATAGTACAATCTTGATCCATGATCTTGAGAAAAAGCTGTCTACATCTGGGATGCCATCTGCTTCTGGAGAGAATCTTCCCTGGTTAGCTTTACCTTAAGGTTTCCAATCAGTATACAGTTCCAAGAGTCTGGAGGAGGCCCTTCTGAGTTGTGAGATTATGAGACCAAGGTTCAGGATCTCAAAGTTTTGCTGCATTGTGGATGCCAAGGGCAGTTTTTCTGTGATGTTGCCCTCAGAAGACCCAATCGATCTCCAGGTTCTAGATTGTGAAAGGTTTGATTGTCCTCAGTCAGTGGACTATGAAAGTTTTTTTTAACCTGGTGAAAATACACTTTGGCATAATGCATTAAAACCTTGTAGCATTTAGTCATATCAGTATTTAGTAGCAGAAGATACAAGACGTTCTATTATTAGGTGCATAGGCCTTTCCAGTGACTATTTATTTCATAAGGGGTCAACTTCCATCTTCTACTGGAAGTGGATCTGATTGTCATCAATCTGGTACACCTTTGACCAAGGCAATCTAGTCAATTCAGTTAGCTTTGCCTAATGTTATTGTATCTGCAATCCTTTTTTAAAAACTGGCCAGCCGCGGTGGCTCATGCCTGTAATCCCAACACTTTGGGAGGCCAAGGCAGGAGGATCGCCTGAGGTCAGGAGTTTGAGACCAGCCTGGCCAACATGGTGAAACCCCATCTCTACTAAAAATATAAATATTAGCCAGGCATGGTGGCAGTTGCCTGTAATCCCAGCAACTTGGGAAGCTGAGGCAGAAGAATCACTTGAATCCGGGAGGCACACGTTGCAGTGAGCTGAGATCATGCCATTGCACTCCAGCCTGGACAACAGAGGGACATTCTATCTCAAAAAAACCAAAAAAAAACAAAAAACTGTTTTATGGCCAGACGCCGTGGCTCATGCCTGTAATCCCAACACTTTGGGAGGTCGAGGAGGGTGGATCACCTGAGGTCTGGAGTTCAAGACCAGCTTGGCCAACATAATGAAACACCACCTTTACTAAAAATACAAAATTAGCTGGGTGTGGTGGCACATGCCTGTAATCCCAGCTACTTGAGAGGCTGAGGCAGAAGAATCACTTGAATCTGGGAGGCAGAGGTTGCAGTGAGTCGAGATTATACCATTGCACTCCAGCCTGGGCAACAAGAGTGAAACTCTGTCTGAAAAATAAATAAATAAATAAATAGGCCAGGCGCGGTGGGTCATGCCTGTAATCCCAGCACTTTGGGAAGCTGAGGTGGGCAGATCACCTGAGGTCAGGAGTTCAAGACCAGCCTGGCCAACATGGTGAAACCCCGTCTCTACTAAAAATAGAAAAAATTAGCCGGGTGTGGTGGCAGGCGCCTGTAATCCCAGCTACTAGGGAGGCTGAGGCAGGAGAATTGCTTGAACCCAGGAGGTGGGAGGCGGAGGTTGCAGTGAGCCGAGATCGCGCCATTGCACTCCAGCCTGGGCAACCAGAGTGAAACTCCGTCTCAAAAAAATAAAAATTAAAAAATTAAAAAAAAACAAAATAAATAAATAAAACTGTTTTTACAACTTGTCCAGTGAAATAAGTATTAGTACTTCTATCACTACAACCAGAAAACATGCACTGAAAATGACAATTGAATAAAATTCTTCTATAAAGGTTTAAGTGACCCATCAGGTAGCAGAAATGTACTTGAAGTTGTGTTCATCTTCCCAGGATTATGGGTTTAACAAACAAAACATTGATCATAAACTATTTTAGCAATTTAGAACAGTCATCATACACACCCACTCACGCACACACATACACACACATTTAATTTGGAACATTTTATCTCTTCATGATGAATCATGGAAAGCTTAATAATGGAGGCTTTAAGGACTCAGGAAGGGCCAGGCAGCCATCAGGGTTCTCCATGAGTCTGCGCCTAATATTGGACTTATATTTTAATACCAACTGTGTTTCCCCAATTTAGGTGCATAGCACTGTTTATTAGATGGGTTAGCATAGGTAATTTGAGTTGGACCATGGAATTTATTCAAATTGCACATCTTAACAATTTCCATACTGGCTGATCTAGTATGACAATTTGGCAAAGTATTTTCTTGGTATTCAATTATTTATTTATTTATTTGAGACAGGGTCTCACTCTGTTGCCTAGGCTGAAGTGCAGTGGTGCAGTCTCAGCTCACCGCAACTTCCCCCTCCCAGGCTTAAGCAATCCTTCCACTTCAGCCTCCCAAGTAACTGGGACTACAGACATGCACCACTATGTCCGGCTAATTTTTATATTTTTTGTAGAGACAGGGTTTCCCCATGTTGCCTAGACAGGCCTCAAACTCTTGGGCTCAAGGGATCCTCCTGCCTTGGCCTCCCAAAGTGCCGGGATTACAGGCATGAGGCACTACCCCAGCCTTCAATTAATTCTTGTCCTGTTTGGGTTAGCAGTTTTATAAACCAGTCATTCCTTTTATTAGAGTTCTGAGAATTCTTACCTAGTCCAAATGATGTGATCCTAAAGTTATCAGAAAGCTGTATTTTTTTTTTTTTTTGAGACGGGGTCTCGCTCTGTTGCCCAGACTGGAGTGCAGTGGTACGATCTCAGCTTACTGCAACCTCCACCTCCCAGGTTCAAGCGATCCTCCTGCCTCAGCCCCCCTAGTAGTGGGGATTAGAGGCACATGCCACCATGCCTGGCTAATTTTTATTCTTTTAGTAGAGATGGGGTTTCACCATGTTGGCCAGGCTGATCTCGAACTCCTGACCTCATGATCTGCCCGCCTCAGCCTCCCAAAGCACTGGGATTACAGGCGTGAGCCACTGTGCCCAGCCGTTTTTATTCTTTTTTAGAACAGGGTCTCACTATTTTGCCCAGGCTTGTCTCGAACTCCTGGGCTCAAGTGATCTTCCTGCCTCAGCCTCCCTAAGTACTGCGATTGCAGGTGTGAACCACCACACCTGGCTTCCTTTAGATTTTTTAATTTCTTGTCATGAAGTGGTACAAAAAGTAGTCTTTTATAATTATTTTATTCTCATCTCTCTGCTTTATTTTTTAAGTGGCAGACTTCTCTACCATGTTTTTCTACACTATTATACAATGTAAAGAACAAGGGTTTCTACTGGTAAATGGTCTTATTACTCATCTAAAATATAAATCTTTTTATTTATCAAGAATCATAAGACATATTTTAAATAACTATGTGACTTCACGAAGCATAAGTAGGCCAGGCATGATGGCTCATGCCTGTAATCTCAGCACTTTGGGAGACTGAGGTGGGAGGATCACTTGAGCCCAGGAGTTCGAGACCAGCTTGGGCTACATAGGGAGACCCCCCCCCGCACCATCTCTAAAATATATATATATAGTTAAAAAAAGAATAATTAGTGTAAGAGATAACAATGGCTCATAAATTGTATTACTGTTGATCACTTATGATATAATCTGAAATCACAACGAACTGCTGAGGGTTTCGTACAAAAAAAGTTTAATTTTTATTTCCAAATAACTTTAAAAAGCTAGAACAGCTTTTAGATTTTGAGACGGCCATCTCAATATATTTGTTTATCTTCTGCAGAATGAATAAAAAGGATTATTTTTAATTTCTTAAGCCAGTCTGAGAGCCTCTGTCTCTGAAGCCAGTCTGAAAAAATCTTTGCATTAATTATACTGATTCATTTATTTTGCAAATATTTTACAAATACATATTAAAGCACCTGTATGCCCTTTCTTTTCTAGGCACAATGGCATATCTGTGAATAAAATTGACAAAGTACTTACCTTTAAGGAGCTTATACTCTCGTAAAAGGGAGACAATGAAGAAACAAATAAATGAATCAATGTATAATGGGACAAGCGGTGATAACTACCATGAAGGAAAATGAAGTAGGGGCCGGGTACAGTGGCTCACGCCTGTAATCCCAGCACTTTGGGAAGCTGAGGTGGGCAGATCACCTGAGGTCAGGAGTTCGAGACCAGCCTGGCCAACACGGCAAAATCCTGTCTCTACTAAAAATACAAAAATTAGCTGGGCATGGTGGGGCATGCCTGTAATCCCAGCTACTTGGGAGGCTGAGGCAGGAGAATTGCTTGAACTCAAGAGGCGGAGGTTGCAGTGAGTGGGGACTGCACCACTGCACTCCAGCTTGGGTGACAGAGCAAGACTCCGTCACACACACACACACACACACACACACACACACACACACACACACACAAATAAAGAGGGATTCAGGCAGAGGGAACAAAAGTGCTACATTCCTGCAGGAATAAAGTGCTTAGCAAGCTCATATAATAGCAAGGCAGTGCCAATGTGACTGGAAAAGAATGAGTTTCAGGCCGGGTGCGGTGGCTCACGCCTGTAATCCCAGCACTTTGGGAGGCCGAGGAGGGCGGATCACGAGGTCAGGAGATCGAGACCATCCTGGCTAACAAGGTGAAACCCCGTCTCTACTAAAAATACAAAAAATTAGCCAGACGCGATGGCGGGCACCTGTAGTCCCAGCTACTCGCGAGGCTGAGACAGAAGAATGGCGTGAACCCGCGAGGCAGAGCTTGCAGTGAGCCAAGATTGCGCCACTGCACTCCAGCCTGGGTGACAGAGCGAGACTCCGTCTCAAAAAAAAAAAAAAAAAAAAAAGAATGAGTTTCAGTAGAAGAGAGGTAGGTAGCAGGGGGGCCAATTAGCTGCTTATTGCTGATTTCATTATATGAATATATCAGGATATAGCCATTCTACAGTTTTTGATGTTTGGGCTATTTGTGATTTTTTTTTGCTATTATGAACAATGGTACTATGTCCATTGTACATGTTTCCTGGTGCACTTGTGCAAGAGTTTTTCTACAATATATACCTACAGGTAGAATTTCCTGGTCATAGTGTATAAAAATGTAAACAAGGTCATTTTTACTACATAACAAGAAATTGTTTTCCGACGTGGTTGTACTGATTCACATTCTCTTGAGAGAATTCTCTTACAAGAATTTTGGGTGCTCTTCTTTTAGTTTGTCAACTTTGTCGTTGTAAATATCTAATTGTGACTTAATTTGCATTTTACTGATTACTGATGAGATCTGGCGTTGTCAAATAGATCACTTCCCTTTTTTTGAAGTGCCATGGCTTGCTCTCTAATTTTTACAGGTTATTTAAACTTTCTTTTTTTTTTAAAAGAAAAAGGCCAGGCATGGTGACTCACCACCTGTAATGGCAGCACTTTGCGGGGCCGATGTGGGCAGACAGCTTGAGCCCAGGAGTTCGAGTCCAGCCTGGGCAACATGGTGAATCCCTGTCTACAAAAACTACAACAATTAGCTGGGCATGTTGGTGCCTGCCTATAGTCCCTGCTACTTGGGGGGACTGAGGTGGGAAAATCACTTGAGCCTGGAGGTTGAGCTGCAGTGAGCTGTGATCATGCCACTGCACTCCAGCCTGGACGACAGAGTGAGACTCTGTCTCAAAAAAAAAAAAAAAAAAGAAAAGAAAGAAAGAAAAGAAAAAAAAAGAAAGTCCAAATAGGATTGGAGGGGTAGAAAGGGAAAAAGAGGTGTGAGGAAAAAGGTGTACTGAAAATCCCTCAGTGGGCCGGGTGCTGAGTTGAGATTGCGCCACTGCACTCCAGCCCAGGCGACAAGAGCAAGACTCCCTCTCAAAAAAAAAAAAAAGAAAAGAAAAGAAAATTCCTCAGGGGTTTTCTAACACTATTTTTATTTTCATTTTATTTATTTATTTATTTTGAGATGAAGTCTTGCTGTTGCCCAGGCTGGAGTGCAATGGCATGATCTTGGCTCACTGCAAACTCCACCTCCTGGGTTCAAGCGATTCTCCTGCCTCAGCCTCCCTAGTAGCTGGGATTACAGACATGCGCCACCACACCTGGCTATTTTTTGTATTTTTGGTATAGACGGGGTGTCACCATGTTGGCCAGGCTGGTCTCGAACTCCTGACCTCGTGATACGCCTGGCCTCTGCCTCCCAAAGTGCTGGGATTACAGGTGTGAGCCACTGCACCTGGCCTCACTATTTTTATTTTTAACAGCTTTAATTTTAACTTCATTAGCTATATTAGCATCCAATCTGTAAAAATTATTACATTGGAATCAGGCGTGGTAGCTCACAGCTGTAATCTGTAATCCCTGCATTTGGGAGGCTGAGGCAGGAGGATTACTTGTGCCCAGGAATTTAAGGTTACAGTAGTGAGCTATGGTTTCGTCATTGCATTCCAGCCTGGGCAACAGAGTGAGACCATATCTCTAAATACATATATATATGATTACTTTGGATTTGAGAGTAGAGTCAGAGAATTTAGAGGAAACTAGGCTGTGGTTTTCACACGATATTTTTCCTTGTTGCTTTTGCCTTTATGCAAAGTTTTCCTTTGTCTTTGGAGAGTAGAAAAACTGTGGATTTTTTTTTTTTTGAGACAGAGTCTCACTCTGTTGTCCAGGCTGGAGTGCAATGGTGCGATCTTGGCTCACTGAAACCTCTGCCTCCCGGGTTCAAGCGATTCTCCTGCCTCAGCCTCCCGAGTAGCTGGGATAACAGGCATGAGCCACCACGCCCAACTAATTTTGTATTTTTAGTAGAGACAGTGTTTCTCCATATTGATCAGGCTGGTCTCGAACTCCCGACCTCAGGTGATCAGCCCGCCTCGGCCTCCCAAAGTGCTGGGATTACAGGCGTGAGCCACCGCACCCGGCTGCAAAAGACATACTTTATAAAGGTCCAAGGATAATGGAAATAGAAGACATTAATGTAATATGTTCTTGGGAACTAATTGGATACACCAAGTATTATCTTTGACTAGTTTCTGGACTTCTGCTTCATTCTGCAACCTGCAGCCAACTACCATGGTGTCCATCTATTATTAGGCGCTTTAAATAGCTCCTTAATTCACATTTACTCTCTTCAATCGATGTGTCAGACTGTGGGGGCCACTTAATTCCCATTCCAAATTCTTGGGAAAGGAATTTAATTGGGTTGAGCTTAGGTCAGGGGCTTACTGAAAGAGCAATCAACTGGGGCCCAGGGACAGGGTGCACTGTGTGAATGAGGCTGCTTTTTCTGCAAATTTGTCAAGTAGAGGCAGACTGGACTAGCTACATAATTTGCAGGGCCCTGGGCAACATGAAAATGCTGGGCTCCCTAGTTCAAAAGTTTCATTATTGTTTCCAAAAGTTTGCAATTGCAGACAATACTGCGATTAATAAACTTGTGTATGTGTATTTTTCCATTGTCGGAGACCTAGCCCGAGTACTATTTTCTGCAGCGAGCCTTTGACGTTGTTTCCTTTTTCTGATGAGCCACAGCATTTATAGTAGGAATTTGTTCATATAAAATTTGCTCTTTCGCTAGATACCAGTAACTGGACTTCTCTAATTGCTTTGGGTATTTCATTGGAGTTCTGTATGACTGAGCTCCGGGAAACTCAGTCCACCCCTCATTCCAATTCTTTTTCACAGTCTTTTTCACAGCGTCCCTGTCAACACTGTTTGGTAAAGGGTAAAACCTTAGATAATAAGGTTTTTATTATCTTAACACAGACAGGCCTAACATATGTTGTCGTACCTTTCTGTAGGATCAATAGCATATCTTTACAAATGAGAAATAATTTTCACGAGACCGAAACACCCTGCAACGCCACCTACATACAGGGTAAGTACGCGCCTTGGTGAGGTCAGCGGCGCTACACACCCGAGCACTAGGGGACGACCTTCCCTGGTTTCTTGCATTAGCAGGACTTGTCCGGAACCTTTCCTGCGGAGTCTGAGGTAGCCCGCCCGGACAACGCCGCTGAACACACAACAGGGCAAGAACTAGTAGGTTAACTGTATGCCTGGAATTTCTACCTCACCTACATGTTCCCGGAGCAAATAATCTTAAATTGTCGCGCTATTTAAAGTCCCTAGTGACGATAACATTGTTGTACCTCAGCAAAGATCATAATTAATTGTTTCCGAGAGAGTGTATGCTTGATTTTGGTCAGGCATATATTTGGGCAGCCCACCTGAAACGAACAAGGAAGGCGGGGGAAGAAAGCGGAAGCCGCGGGGCCTTCTAAGGCCGAAAGTCTTCGGAGCTTGCGCCAGTCTCTTCGCGGCGTCCACCACTTAGACGCAAGTTGCTGAAGCCGGCCGGGGAGAAGGTGTTGTTGCCGGAGCTGAGACCGGGCGGCCACAGTCCGCAGGGATGAACCTCGAGTTGCTGGGTGAGAAGGGCTGTGGCTGCGTTTTAGAGAAGCGTTGGGTACTGGAAAGGAGGGAACCCAGGCGGGAGGGGAGTCAGGCTGCAATCTTAGGGACACTGTTCGGCTATGGATCACTGGGCACACCTGATGTGGAGCAGCAGCGGGAGGAGGAAGCCCACCTTCTGCCCGAGTAGGTTGCATTGCCCCTCCCGAGGCCACTTTCATATCAATTATGGAGCGATGGGGACAGACAGTTTGTGACTTAGCTTTGATTATGAGGATCGCAGGTGTTGAAGTACCCAGAGCAGCCAGGACCAGAGTTGTTGGAGATGGAATTTGAAGAAGTGAGGCTTGGGATGAAGCTTTGAAGACTTGTCAGGGAATTGGGTGCCTGAACAGGTTAATCTTTTTGTAGAAAAGAGAAGTCTAAGGAGGGGACTTGGAGATCTTCTGGTAGAAGCTTCTCATTGAACAGATGAATAAAGGCTCAGAGGGTAATGGCTAGGCACTAAGCAAGTAAATGGCATAGTTGGCACTGGAATCCAATTATCCTAACTTTCTGTTTAAGGTCCTTTGCTAGGGACGGTGTGTAAAACACTGAGGTGTGAAATACGGAGGGAGTTGTCTTTTGTCGCCCTCACTTTGAGTCATTGCCTCCTTACCTCCTATCCAGATTATTTAAAAACTGTAGGTCCTTTCTCCTGGACTTCCATTAGGTGACATTTAGCATGGTATTCTAGGGGTAGCTGAGGTTTTCAAGGACTTCTGCACTACTTGCTGTTCCTAATGGTTAGGTTTCTCTTTTAAAAAAGTCAGAAGATATGTTAATTGTCAAAAGGGCTACAAAGATACATAAAAAATGGTCTTTGCCCTTAAAGAGCTTTTCATTAAGCAGGGAGTTTAAGGTGATTATGTAAAATAGCTGTAGGATATTGCAGAATGTAGGCAGGCCTGAAAGAGTCATTACCAGTTGCTAAGAATGTTTGGAACAGAGAGTGAATGTCTTTGGGGTAAAGGAAGAAGTCAACCAGGAAAAACAAACCCCCCAAACCTGTGGAGGAGTTGGAGTTTTAAGTGGACTTTTTTTTTTTTTTTTAAGACAGCCTCGCGCCGTCGCCTAGGCTGGAGTGCAGTGGCACAGTCTTGGCTCACTGCAACCTCTGTCTCCTGGGTTCGAGTGATTCTCGTGCCTCAGCCTCCTGAGTAGCTGGTACTACAGGTGCGCACTGCCATGCCTGGCTAATTTTTGTATGTTTAGCAGAGATGGGGTTTCACTGTGTTGGCCAGGCTGGTCTCAAACTCCTGGCCCCAAGCAATCCACTCACCTCAGCCTCCCAAAGTGTCCGGCCTTAAGTGGATTTTTAAGGTTGGTAAAATATCAACAGGCTGAAGTATGAAAATATGGGAGGGATGTTCAGTAGGCATCAGTGAGAGAAGACCTAAAGAATTTTCCTGCTTGGCCAGGTTGTGGATAAAGAGAATGCCAGGGGATGGGATCGGTGCCATCTATTTTGTGTTGGTTCTCGAATGCCTAGCTCAAAAGTTTGGGCTTTTTAGGGAAGGTAGGGTAGATCCATTGAAGGATTTTGACTTAGTAACTCAATCAGAGCTATGAGTTTGTAAGGTTTGTCTGACAGCAATGTGGAGTTGAGTTTTGGAGGAGTGTAAAACCAGTTTGGAGGGGTAGATTATATGAGTGATGAGGAAGGCCTGAGCTAGGAAATAGAAAAGACATTGAGGAGGTAGGGATGACAAATTTGAGAATAGATTGCATATAGTGCTGATGAGTAAGAGAGTGACGTGAAAAATGGTGAGAGCAAATAATGATGCTGTTGATAAAGTGTAAGGTCATTGGAAAAAGACAGCTTTGGAGAAGCTGAATGTGGTCTAGGGGTCAGGAGACAGGTTTGGATTTATGGGAGAGATTTGTATTCTTTCAGATGGGCTCATTGAAACCTTGTGAATAGAGGACATGATCTAGAGAAAAAGTGGGAGGGGGAGAAAAGAAAATTGCCAAGCACACAATCTGTAGTTAGAGGTTAAGAGGAGGAATAAGTGGAGATAATAAGTTAGCTAACGGTTATAAAGTACTTTCTCTGAGCTAGGCAGATTTTCAAGTGCCTTCCATGTATTAATCTATGTAGAGGAAGAAGAGAGTACAGATTGGTGTGGCGTCTTCATAGAAGCCAATCAGAGCAGTTGAGTCTGAGGGCTGAGAATGGGTTGCTCTGTTTAGTCCTTTGGCAGCTTGGGACTCCTCAGCAGCTGGAACAGAAACCAGATTACAATGATTTTAGAATGGTGTGGGAGACAAGGGCAAAAGGTTGACGCTTACTTGTAAAAACTTAAGGATGGAAGAAAGGTGATAACGCTAGTACTTTGAAAGAGTAGCAGGATCTTGCAAAAGGCTTTTCTTGAATGATACAGAAGGTTCATTAGGATAAAACTTAGGAAGGAATATTTATTTTTATTTATCTTTTGAGACGGAGTCTTGCTCTGTTGCCCAGGCTGGAGTGCAGTGGCACAATCTCGGCTGACAGCAACTTGCGCTTCCCAAGTTCAACCGATTCTCCTACTTCAGCCCTCCCGAGTAGCTGGGATTACAGGCACCCAACACCACACCTGGCTATATTTTTTGTATTTTTAGTAGAGACTGGGTTTCACCATGTTGGCCAACCTGGTCAGGAACTCCTGACCTCAAGTGATCTGCCCACCTTGGCCTCTGAAAGTGCTGGGATTACAGGTGTGAGCCACTGTGCCCAGCCAGGAAGGAATATTTAGCACTGGAAGGTTAGACAAATTAAAGAAGCCTGGGTCCGAAAGATAACAATCTCTGAAAATGACTCTGCATTTTAAAGTGAGAAAGTTAATGATTATAGATAAAAGGAAAGGAACAGAAGTAATGTGATTGTGGAAGCCTACTGAAGGACATCTGGCCAGATGAAGGAAATGAATGACAATGTATTTTTAATGTGGTTAGACAAGTGGCTCATAGGTAGACACTAGTTTTACTTCTGCAACCACTTTTTGAGTCCCTGCTGTGTATTCACCAGTGTGCACCGGAGATATAATTAAATAAGATCATTTGTCAAACTTATTTTTACCACAAATCACAGTAAGAAATATATATTCTATCACAGTTCACTATATATACCTACACGTGTAACTAAGTTTCTCAGAATTATATTTAATCCTTGTTATGTTCAGTGTTCTCTGATAGTTTCTTTTCTTTTCTTTTCTTTTCTTTTTTCTTTAGAGGGAGTCTTGCTTCTGTCGCCCAGGCTGGAGTGCAGTGGCATGATCTTGGCGATCTTGGCTCATTGCAACCTCCGCCTCCTGGGTTTAAGTGATTCTCATGCTTCAGCCTCCCAAGTAGCTGGGATTACAGGCGTGTGCCACCATGCCCAACTAATTTTTTTTTTATTTTTAGTAGAGACAGGGTTTCACCATGTTGGCTCAGCTGGTCTCAAACTCCTGACCTAGTGATCTGCCCACCTCGGCCTCCCAAAGTGCTGGGATTACAGGCGTGAGCCGCTGCACCTGGCCGATATTTTCTAATCTATTGCAACATTTGTTCCAACTCACTAAATTAATGTATCCATTTATGGTGGATTGCGTCTTACTGTTTGAAAAACATTGAAATAAGATACCACTTTTGCCCTCGTAAATAGAGCTAAGAGGAGAGACAAACAAGTAGCTGTGTATAATAGGGAACCACAATAAATGAGCTATGGGAATCCAGCTAAAAGCACTTACAAGCAGTTGAGGTGGGGTGTGGTGACTCACGCCTGTAATCCCAGCACTTTGGGAGGCCAGAGTGGGTGGATCACCTGAGGTCAGGAGTTGGAGACCAGCCTGGTCAACATGGTGAAACCCCGTCTCTACTAAAAATACAAAAATTAGCCGGACATGGCAGTGCATGCCTGTAATCCCAGCTACTCGGGAGGCTGAGGCAGGAGAATCACTTAAACCTGTGAGGCAGAGGTTGGAGGGAGCCAACATCATTGCATTCCAGCTTGGGAGACAAGAGCGAACTCTGTCTCAAAACAAATAAATATATATATGGATATATATATATGTACAGATACAGAAAAAAAGCCTCCCCATCCCAAATTTTCAGTGGGGTTATCCTTTTATACCTTTTTCCTTGCTCATATAAACACACTTACACATACATTTGTTTATTTTTATTTTTATTTTTATTATTCTTTTTTTGAGACAGAGTTTCCCTCTTGTTGCCCAGGCTGGAGTGCAATGGTGTGACCTCGGCTCACTGCAACCTCTGCCTCCCAGGTTCAAGAGATTCCTCTGCCTCAGCCTCTGGAGTAGCTGGGATTACAGGCATGCGCCACCACGCCTGGCTAATTTTGTATTTTTAGTAGAGACAGGGTTTCTCCATGTTGGTCAGAGTGGTTTTGAACTCCCGACCTCAGGTGATCCACCTGCCTCAGCTTCCCAAAGTGCTGGGATTACAGGCATGAGCCACCACACGGGCTCTTTACACATAAATTTGTAAGGACTAGGCCGGGCGTGGTGGCTCATGCCTGTAATCTCAGCACTTTGGGAAGCTGAGGCAGGTGGATCCCTTGAGGTCAGAAGTTTGAGACCAGCCTGGCCAACATGGTAAAACCCTGTCTCTACTAAAAATACAAAATTAGCCGGGCATGGTGCCACATGCCTGTAATCCCAGCTGCTGCTCAGGAGGCTGGGGCAGGAGAAGCGCTTGAACTTGGGAAGCAGATGTTGCAGTGAGCCAAGATTGCACCACTGCCCTCCAGCCTGGGAGACAGACCGAGACTCCGTCTCAAACAAACAAACAAACAAAAAAAACCAGGCCGGTCGAAAAACAAAAAAAAACCCAAAAAAACTAAAACAAAGAAATAAAGAGAATTTCATGTTTAATCAACTGCTATTTGCTGTTGCAACCTAAATGCTGTTATTAGTCAGGAAGGGGTGTGATCGCTGCTTTTGTTAAAGGTTTCAAGGTTTCAAAGAGTAATTGTGATAATTTGACTGATATGAATTGACTCTTGCCTTTCCTTGCTCTTTTTCTTTTTGTTTTGAGACGGAGTCTTGTTCTGTCGCCCAGGTTGGAGTGCAGTGGCACGATCTCAGCTCACTGCAACCTCCGTCTCCCAGGTTCAAGTGATTCTCCTGCTTCAGCCTCCTGAGTAGCTGGGATTACAGGTGCACACCACCACACCTGGCTAATTTTTGTATTTTTAGTAGAGACGGGGTTTCACCATTTTGGCTAGGCCGGTCTTGAACTCCCTTGTGATCTGCCGCAACTTGGCCTCCCAAAGTTCTGGGATTACAGGCGTGAGCCACCGAGCCCGGCTCCTTGCTCTTACCTTAGTAAATTTGGAAATAAATTGTGAAATGCCCAAAAGGTGTGATGGAGAAAGACTGTTGCTAACTTGGATATGTCAACAGTTCTCAAACTTTTTAGTATCAGGATCCTATTATACTTTTAAGAAGTAGAGGGTCCCCAGAGAGTTTTTGTTTATGTAGGTGATATCTACCTACCAGTGTTTACCAATTTAGAAGTTAAAACTGAGATAATATTTTTAAAGCATATTATATAGAAATAACCATAATAAATCCATTACATGTTTATGTGAGTAGTTATTTTGTTTTCAAAAACAAAGTATTTAGTGAGGAAAATGCCACTGTTGTGACATTTTTACAAATCTCTTCAATGTTTGCCTGAATAGAAGTTGGGGGACTTCTCACATCTGCTTCTGCCCTCACTCTGTTTCAATATCCCAGGTCATATAGTCTCAGGAAAACGCATCTGTATATTTCCGAGATAATGAGAGTAAACAAGTCATCTTAGCAGGATCTTGAAAATCCGTATGGCCTCATGGAATGCCTGAAAGGGCATCATATCCCCCTTTTCGTTTTGTCAGCCACTGCTATACACTGTTCGTGAGTTGTATGATCCTTGCTATGTGGTACATGTGCCATCAACTCTTTCTTTGCTTTGTTGCAGAGTCCTTTGGGCAGAACTATCCAGAGGTAAGAGTATAGTATTGTGGTGATTTTAGGAACATAGTAACTTCTGGGTGTTTATGTTAGAACAGAAAATACTTTTTGATCCTTGTGTTTTGACAGAGAAGCATTAAGTGTGATAATATATCTTATGCTATAATAAGGAGCTAGTGTACAATTTTGATCAGGGAGGAAATAGGCAATGTGGGCTAGAAATCTTACCATGATGTTGTAATCTTACAGTTCATTTTCCTTTAAATAAAAGAAAAACTTTCATTGAAGGATTTTTCACAAACACCACCATCATAGGTTTGTGCTTTTCTCGTTTTGATCAATGTTTTTATGTAGTAAAGCAAAATGTATGCTATAGATGTGCTTTACTTTTTTAATTGTAAAACTATTTTATAACACTTGAATGTTTGAGGATAGACATTGTGGTTATTTTAAATAGCTTGGTATTGATATGAAATAATTTGACTTCTCTAATGTTATGCATTGTAGGCTATTCCAGGGTTTTTCTTTTTTAATTATTTAAAAAATTCTTTTAAATTCTTTTTGTTTAAATTCTTTTTGTTTTAAATTCTTGGAATAAATTCCCAGAATTACAATGACTGCATCAATAGATATGACTTTTTAAATACTTCTGTTATATTTTGCCCATTTGCCCTCCAGAAAGTTTATACAAAGTTATAGTAGTGATGTAAGGGATTGATCACATCTGTTTCCAGAATCCATGGTTAGCTTTAATAAATGTTCCTTCATTTTGGCTATTTTAATAGATATAAGAAGACACAGAGAGATTATTTGGTATGCAGTGTAATTTATATTCAATAAAAGTATCACAAGTGATAAAGAACCTTTAGGAAATAATTTGGATACCTGGCTATTGTTGCCTCTATTCTTGTATTTGTTTCAATTTTTAGGAAGCTGATGGAACTTTGGATTGTATCAGCATGGCTTTGACTTGCACCTTTAACAGGTGGGGCACACTGCTTGCAGTTGGCTGTAATGATGGCCGAATTGTCATCTGGGATTTCTTGACAAGAGGCATTGCTAAAATAATTAGTGCACACATCCATCCAGTGTGTTCTTTATGGTAAGACATTTTTTAATTAATATTTAAATATGAGGAGAATGAATGATGACTATATATTTGCAAATCTCATTGTAGATATTTTAATACTTAGATTTTTAAATATTCAGCCATTAGTAATACAGTTTATCATGGTTTATGTAGATCCTGAGTCCATGCTGTCCTTGAAGCACCTTTCTTGGGAGAAATTCATTGTATTATGGATCTGTATCAGGCGCTGAGAATATCTCAATACTGAAATGAAATATTTTCAGATTGTAATTGTAGTATAATTGTGATATTGACTTTTCATTTAGAATAAAAAGTCTCGGTTAGGACAGAAGCTTGGAAGTCATCGAGTCCAGTTTTGTGCAGTTTACTGAATTCCAGTAATTTTAGTGGTCACAAGTATGACTATTCCTTCAATGAAATATAGTTATTAAGGCTTTATAGAAAACGTAAAAACAGTTGAAATCTGCTGTAACATAAATTCCCATTGATTTCACTCTTGCTCTCTGAAACTATTTGCTTCAGAAAATTTTATTTTGGGGCAGCATTTTTTTTAAATGAACTTGGGGCCAACAAAAGGACCTAATCAGATCAAGGTTAAGTCTATCTCCTTTTGTCTAAATGGTATTATAAAGCACTGGATTGGGAGGAGGCCTGAATCACAGTAAAGTTTGGCCAGTAAAGTACTGGTGGCCTGGGCCAAAACTTTTCTTTCATATCCAATAATCCAGGAAGCACTGGCCTGGATGATCTCTTAGGTTCCTTCCACCGCCTTTCTGTTTCTTTTTTGTTGTATTCTTGCAATAAAGATTCAAATAGGGCCAGGCGCGGTGGTTCACGCCTGTAATCCCAGCACTTTGGGAGGCTGAGGCGGGTAGGTCACTTGAGGTCAGGAGTTTGAGACTGGCCTGGCCAACATGGTGAAACCCCGTCTCTACTAAAAATACAAAAATTCGCCAGGCATGTTGGCGGGTGCCTGTAATCCCAGCTACTTGGGAGGCTGAGGCAGGAGAATCGCTTGAACCTGGAAGGCAGAGGTTGCAGTGAGCTGAGATTGTGCCACTGCACTCTAGCCTGGGCAACAGAGTGAGACTCTGTTTCAAAAAAAAAAAAAAAATACACATTTTTATGTGTGTGTGTATGTGTTTCACATAATATAAAATTTCGAGTGTACAATTCACAAGTTTTTATATATTCAGAGTTGTGCAACCATCATCACAATATAATTTTAGAACTCCTGGCGAGATGCGTTGGCTCATGCCTATAATCCCAGCGCTTTGGGAGGCTGAGATGAGAGGATTCCTTGAGCCCAGGAGACCAACATAGTGAGACCTCATCTCTACAAAAAGTAAAAAAATTAGCTGGGTGTATGGTGCACATCTGTAGTCCTGGCTACTTAGGAAGCTGAAGTGGGAGAATCACTTGAACACAGGAGTTCTAGGCTGTAATGAGCCATGATTGTGCCACTGCACTCCAGTGCCTGGGTGACAATAAACCTTGTCTCTTAAAAAAAAAAAGAACTCTTACCTATTAAAAATATGTGTGTTTTTATTATATACTAATATATACTTATTCTAGAAAATCATGGAAAATAAAACAAAATAGAGATAACTAGTATTTTCTGTAGTCCTCCTAACCAGATACTACTACTTTGTACGTATAGATTTTTGTTGTTGTTGCTGAGACAGGGTCTTGCTCTGTGGCCCAGGCTGGAGTGCAGTGGCTAGTCACAGGCACGATCACAGTTCACTGCAACCTTGAAATCCCAGGCTCAAGTGATCCTCCCGCGTAGCTAGGTCTACAGATGTGCGCCACCATGCCTGGCTAATTTTAAAAAATTTTTTATAGAGACAGGGTCTTGCTGTGTTGCTCAGGCTTGTCTTGAACTCCTGGCTTCAATCGATCCTCCTGCCTCAGCCTCCCAAAGTGCTGGGATTACAGGTGTGAGCCACCATGTCTGCCCAGTTTCTAGATATGATTTTTTAAAGCATAGTTTGTAATTGTGCTATATTCTGTATTTTGCTTTTCCCTCCTAATACTGTCTCGACATTTTTCTGCTTGAGTAGCCTTTAACAACTTTTTAAATGACTGTATATTGTCTGATAAACCATAATTTACTTAACCATTTTCTGTTTTTTTTCCTCAACTACATAGTGTTTAGTGAATGTCTTTGTGCCATAGTTTTTCTTATATATTCATTCATTCATTTATTCAGCAGGTGTTGACCATGAGTTATGTACCAGGTGCTATGTTAGGCTCTGGGGACACAAAAACAAATGAGAAATTCTAGATGATTAGTGGGAGGTGGATTTGCATACAGGTACATATACTAAAGCTTTATATGTCCTATACAAGAACTATATTTAAGATTTAGTGGAGATGAAAGCACAAAGAAGGAAGTTATCAATTGTAGTGAAGGGGAATAACGGTCAGAAAAGCCGTCATAGATGAGATAATTTATAACTGTATTTTATTTTAATTTTTTTGAGACAGAGTCTTGCTCTGTTGCCCAGGCTGGAATGCAGTGGTGCGATCTCGGCTCACTGCAACCTCCACCTCCCGGGTTCAGGCAATTCTCCTGCCTCAACCTCCTGAGTAGCTGGAATTACAGGTGCACACCACCATGACCGGCTGATTTTTGTATTTTTAGTAGAGACAGTGTTTTGCCATGTTGGCCAGGCTGGTCTTGAACTACTGACCTCAGGTAATCTGCTTGCCTTGGCCTCCCAAACTGTTAGGATTGCAGGTGTGAGCCTCCATGCCCAGCCAGATAATTTATAACTTTAAATTTGTAAGATAAGTAGATGTTGCCAGATATATTCCAAGCAGAGGGCACTGCACAGGCCAAGGCATATCAGCTTGAAACAAGTATGGTACAATGGGGAACTACAGGTATCAGGATAGCTGGATTGTGGTATGGGACATACGATATGACAAGAGCCAAGGTAAACCAAGGTCCTCATGGAGAACCTCGTCTGCCATACTCAGGAATTTGATTCCTAGCTCATATGTACTCTGAAGTCATTAAAAGATTTTGGCAGGAAAGTCACATGATGAGCTTTTATTTTAGAAAGATCTTCAAAGCAACAAGTAGAAAAGAGATTGAAGGGGCAACAGTAAGTGAACATAGGAGAACTGCTGTGGTCTAGGCTGGAGATAATGAGTGTTGCAGTAAGAAAGGAGCCAAGTTAGACAGATGTGAGAAATGGTAGAAATAAGAGGACTTAGTCATTAATTTGATTGGGGTGTGAGTGAAATGGAGAAGTTAAGATAATTCTTAGGTTTCTGGCTTGGTTGAAGATACTCATTAATGGAAGATTTGAGGGGGAAGTGGTGAGTTTGAGATTATGGTTGCATGTCTCCTATTATTTTCATGTTAGTTTATTGCAAATATTTGTGTTAGAGTATCTTCCCTGTAAGATCTTAAGTGCTGTTTGAGTACAAACCTTGTGTGCCATTTCACTGCTATGTTCTCAGCTTCTAGCGTTGTACCTGATATACAGTAGCCATTCAGATACTTGTCGGATGAATGGGAAATGTCCCAATAAGCATCTGAGATGCCCAAAGGGCATTTGGTCTATGAGTTCTCATTACAGTAGACTTCCAGAAGTGTTATTAGTCAGTCAAAGGATATAAAGTAAGAGATTTTTCAACCCCTCCCTCCAACATTTTTAATATTTTAAAATCACAAAACCTATACTTGATTATTTAAAAGTTTTTTGTTTTTTTTAAATTTTTTCGAGACAGAGTCTTGCTCTGTCACCCAGGCTGGAGTGCAGTGGCACGATCTCGGCTCACTGCAACCTCCGCCTCCCAGATTCAAGTGATTCTCCTGCCTCAGCCTCCTGAGTAGCTGGGATTACAGAAGCAGGCCACCACGCCCGGCTAAGTTTTGTATTTTTAGTAGAGGTGGGGTTTCACCATGTTGGCCAGGCCAGTCTTGACCTCCCGACCTCAGGTGATCTGCCTGCCTTGGCCTCCCAAAGTGCCAAGATTACAGTAGTGAGCCACCGTGCTTGGCCATTTAAAAATATTTTTAAAAATTAAAAGAATATATAAATATGCAAAGTAAAAAATGAAAGCCCTTTGTCTACTTCTTAGGGTAACCACTGTTAAAGAGTGTGGAATATATTCTATCTATAAGATATCTATATCTTTTTATGTGGGAAATAATTAATACATATATCCACATAATATGTTTTTAAACAAAAATAAATATATTTTGTTCTGTAGCTTGCTTTTCCACTTAGCATATAGTGGATATTTCTCTGTGTCTCCTTATTTTATATAGTTGTGTCTATAGAGTATTGCACAGTATACATGCATCATAGATTTAACTGTTCCTTATTTGAGCATATTAGGGAACAAATTTTACCAAGGGAAGTTTTAGGTAGGCATGATAGCTGACTTCAACTATTAGTAAAGTTGATGTATGAAAGAGAGAAAAAATGGCCCAGGATGTAGAAGCAGAACTGGTAGGTACTGGCTGGGCACGGTGGCTCATGCCTGTAATCCCAGCACTTTCAGAGGCCGAGGCTCACCAATCACTTGAGGTCAGGAGTTCGAGACCAGCCTGGACAACATGGTGAAACTCCGTCTCTACTAAAAATACAAAAATTAGCTGGGTGCGGTGACATGCGCCTGTAATCCCAGCTACTCGGGAGGCTGAGGCAGGAGAATCGCTTGAACCGGCATATGGAGGTTGCGGTGAGCCGGGATCTGCCTGGGCGACAGAGCGAGACCCTGTCTCGGAAAAAAAAAACCCAAAAAACAAAACAGAACTAGTAGGTAGTGAACAGAAGTTAGCTATAGGGAAACAAAGTTAACTCCAAGTAGAGAGGAGCTCCCAAG
This sequence comes from Homo sapiens, assembly GCF_000001405.40. Lineage (NCBI taxonomy): Eukaryota > Metazoa > Chordata > Mammalia > Primates > Hominidae > Homo > Homo sapiens. Next base: position 205,109,952 of record NC_000001.11, on the reverse strand, counting down.
CAGAGGTGCTGTGGGTGGGATTGACTGCCCAGGAGAGAGCTATCTGAGAGCTGTTCCTGCCTGAGCTTGCCACCCCCCTTGTTAGGATGCTGCAGAAGAAATTCAAGCACTGGATGGGGGCCATAGGTAGACTTTAGCACATTGGAATCAGTAAAGACCCATCTGTTTTTGGGAAAGAAGCTGTGAAAAAGTATAATTCCTAATTCTTGAGGTTATGGAATTTGGAATTGAAGAATAAATTTTTTTTTAGTTTTTACTTTTGTTTATAACTTAATTTTTAGTTAGATTTCCCTCCATTATGACAGAAATACAAGCTTGCTGTGAAAGAAAACAAAAATTATAGTGCAGTAGCAGTAGGTTTTTTTTCTTTTTTTTTTTACCCCACCCACCCCCTAGTACAGAAGAGTTTAGAGGGAAAATAGAATCATAGCTAACATTTTGTTCTATAGTCAAATTGTGCTAACAGGCCTACAAGAATAGCAACGAAACCTGTTCCTTTTTTCTCCTCACTCTCAGTCTTGTGCCATTCCCAGTAGACTTCTATTTTTGGGGGCTATTTCTTCTGCTGTTTAGCTTCATATTTCTGATATAATGTGTATTGCTTTTTCTTGGTTTGTTAATTTCAGAAATTGGGTTTCCTGTTACAGTGTATTTGAATTTTAACTTACCCTTTACCCTCCCATCATCCACCCTTTTACCCTCCTATCATCATCATCATCCAGCTATTGGCTTTTTTATTGTGCACCTTTGCATTTTAACACCTTTAGGCCTCTTTAGAGTTGACATTCTCTAGAAGGACTCACTGATTGCCTGACTACAGGTATTCTAGACCCAGTAGAAGAGACACACAGAGTCCTTTTGTGTGCAGGCTTTAACTTAATCCCTCTATATTTATAACCTTAGCTTACCCCTGCCTTCCTCTGTTCCTAGAGTCCTGAGTCTGGCAGTATATTTATTTTGTCTCTGATATAAATAATTTTTTGAGCACTTATTATGTACCAGGCATTGAGCACTTATTATGTATCAGGCATTGAGTACTTATTATGTGCCAAGCCAAGAATTCTGTATGTATTAAATTCTTTCAACAGCCTTCTGCAGGTCGATACCGTTTTTATTCCTGTGTTATAGATGAGGAAATTGAAGCCCATAAAGCTTAAGTAACGTGCTAAGATCACACAGCTAGGAGGTAGTAATGTCTAGGCTTGAGTAGAAGTCTGACTTTTGAGCCATATTCTTAACCATGGAGATTATATTGCCTGCTGAGTTTCTCAATAGCACCTCCTCTTGATTTCAAAACCTGGGTAAAGTATCGGTTTTGGGTTACTTTTTTACTTGTTCCATTTGTTTTTTGTTTTTGTTTCCTGCCTTCCTGTGGGCTACTTGGACAAGTTTTTAGAATTCCATTTTGCTTTATCTGTAGTGTTTTTTGAGTGTATACCCTTGTGTAGCTTTAGTGGTTACTAGGTTTTACATCATACATTTATAACTTACCACAGTCTACTGGTGATAAGTTGTATTGGTGAACATTTTACCAGTTCAAGTGAAGTGTAGAAACCTTACCTTCCTGTTGTCCCCTTGTCCTTTCTTGTGTGTAATATAATTGTCTTAAATATTTGCTCTACATACATTGACACCCACATAAGACAGTGTTAAAATGTGTGTTTCAAACATCAAAACTCAAGAAGAGAAAAAGTAATTTTTTTTTTTTTTGAGACGGATTCATGCTCTGTCACCCAGGCTGGAGTGCAATGCTGCGATATCTGCTCACTGCAACCTCCGCCTCCCAAGTTCAAGTGATTCTCCAGCCTCAGCCTCCCGAGTAGCTGGGACTACAGGCGTGCACTACCACACCCAGCTAATTTTTGTATTTTTAGTAGAGACCGGGTTTCACCATGTTGACCAGGATGGTCTCGATCTCTTGACCTCATGATCCGCCCGCCTTGACCTCCTAAAGTGCTGGGATTACAGGCGTGAGCCACAGCGCCTGCCTTTTTTTTTTTTTTTTTGAGACAGATTTTTGCTCTTGTTACCCAGGCTGGAGTGCAATAGCGCGATCTCGGCTCACTGCAACCTCTGCCTCCTGGTTTCAAGCGATTCTTTAGCCTCAGGCTCCCAAGTAGCTGGGATTATAGGCATGTGCTACCATGCCTGGCTAATTTTTGTATTTTTAGTAGAGACGGGTTTTCAGCATGTTGGCCAGGCTGGTCTCCAACTGCCAACCTCAGGTGATCCACCTACCTTGGCCTCCCAAAGTACTGGGATTATAGGCGTGAGCCACCGCACCTGGCTTAGAAAAAGTAATTTTATCTACCCATATATTTATACTCTTTTCATTGTTCATTCTTCCTTCCTGATGTTCTAAACCCTTCCTTTAATCTTTTCCGAACATTATGTAGCCATTCTTTAGAGTATGTCTGCTAGCAACAAGTGTCTCAGTTTACCCGTTTATTCCTGGAATGACAGTTCTTTTCTTTCAGTGCTTGAAAAATGTGCCACTTCCTTCTGGCCTTCATGGTTTCTGATGAGAAATCCCTTTTCATTCATATTGTTGTTCCCCTATAGATAAGGCATCATTTTTCTCTTGCAGCTTTCAAGATTTTTTCATTGTCTTTAGTTTTCAGAAGTTTGTATTTCTCGGAGTGGATTTCTTTGGGCTCATCCTAGTTGATGTTCTTGAATCTGTAGGTTTTGTATCTCTTGCCAGATTTAGGAAATTTTCAGCCATTATTTCTTCAAATAACCTTAACATCCCAGTCTGTATTCTCTCCTTCCAGGATTCTGATGACATGAATATTACATCTTTTGTTATAGTTCTACAGGTCTCTGAGGCTCTGTGTGTATAGATACATATGTGTGTGTGTGTGTATATATATATATGTATACACACACACACACATACATATACACACATATATACACACAGACACATATATATATATGTCTATGGTAATTTTTATTCCATCTTCCAGTTTGCTAATTCTTTCCCTTTTTTTCCTCCATTGGCTGCTGAATTCATCTATTGAGTTTATTTCTGTTACTATATTTTTCAGTTCTAAAATTCCCATTTGGTTCTTCTCTGTATCTTCTGTTTCTTTGCTAAGATTTTCTGGGCTTTTTTCCCCATCTGTTTCAGGCATGTTCATAATTGTTGAAGCATTTTTATGATGGCTGCATTATAATCCTTGTCAGATAATTCTAACATTTATGTCATTTCTGTATTAGTGTCTATTGATTGTCTTTTCTTATTCGAGTTGAGATTTTCTTTGTTCTTGAGTTGACAAGTGATTTTCAGTTGAAACCTGGGCATTTTGGGTATTATGAGACTGTAGATCTTATTTATTTTTTACTTTTTCTTGAGACAGAGTCTCACTCTGTTGCCTAGGCTGGAGCCCAGTGGCGCCATCTTGGGTCACTGCAACTTCTGCCTCCCAGGTTCAAGCGATTCTCCTGCCTCAAGCCTCCCGAGTAGCTGGGACTACAGGTGCACACCACCATGCCCGGCTAATTTTTTGTATTTTTAGTAGACAACGGAGTTTCACCATGTCGGCCAGGCTGGTCTCAAACTCTGGGCCTCAAGTGATTTGCCTGCCTTGGCCTCCCAAAGTGCTGGGATTACAGGTGTGAGCCATTGCGCCCGTCCTATAGATGTTATTTAAATCTTTTAGTTTAGCAGGCCTCCTCTGATACTGCACAGGGAAATGGAGTGTACCATCTTGTTATTCCCAGAGGTGGGTGAAAGTCCAGGTTTCTTCTTACTTGGCCTCATTACTGCTGGGTGGGATTGGAAGTTTAGGCTCTCCACTAGGTCTCTGCTGATAACATCCTGTCTGGGAAGGATAGGAATTCCTTGTTCCTTCTCTCTATGTGTCCTTCTCTGACACCATGGTGGTGCGACCTCATTACTGCTGGTGGTAATGCAAATCTGATTCTCTACTGATCCTTCTCTGACACCACCCCAGTGAGGTGGGGAGGGTGCCTTGTTATAGCTGGATAAAGGTGAAGTCTAGGCTATCTGCTTCAACCTGGCTAAGAGGGGGATTTGCATTTCTTTTCTGTGATGTTTGGCTGGCGTAGGTTGGTTATTGTCTTAAAGTTTTCTGTCTTGCTGGGCTGTCCTTTTCTGGTCCCTTAGCTCTTCTTGGGGCTTTTTATGCGTGCCCACTGGCATTACCAGGTTGTTGGCTTCTCCTTCACCCAGAACGGGGAACATGAGGCAGAAAATTCAGGGATTTCACTACTGTGTCATCCTTAAGATTCTACAGTCTCTGGCTTGCCTGTCCTTTGTCTACCTTTCAGAACCTTTTTTGTCTGTTTTATATATTATGTCCAGTGTGTTTATCTGTACTTACCAGGAGGAATTAATTCTTTCTCAGTTCTTTTAAAATTATTTTAAATAACAGATACTTATCATTTTTTTGTTTTGTTTATACCATGATGGTGCTACTTCTGAGATGACTTCAGAAAGTTCAAATATATCAACTCTTAAAGCGCAGCTGATTTTTTAGACTCTTCTAAGATGTTTTAATCTCTTATTTCACTGAGTCACTTTATAGTTTTATCTTGAAATATTATGAGCTTCCATTACTAGATAGTAAAATGTCATGAAAACCTTCTTATTAATTGCCTAGTTGGAAAAGCTTATGGATTTGAGTATACGTGGAACAAAACCAAAAACATTGTTGACCTGTGCAGTTGCAGCAATGTGTGTGACTTACACAGTTTATTCATGAGAGTGGTATGATATACTTAGAATATGTGCTAAATTACCCCTTTTTTTTCCTCAGCTGGAGCCGAGATGGTCATAAACTCGTGAGTGCTTCCACTGATAACATAGTGTCACAGTGGGATGTTCTTTCAGGCGACTGTGACCAGAGGTTTCGATTCCCTTCACCCATCTTAAAAGTCCAATATCATCCACGAGATCAGTATGTTTAAGCTATTTCTCTCCTGGGGTGGGGTCTAATTCTATATGGATTAGCTCTGGGCTCATGATAATTTTAGTTTATGGTTTTAGAAGGCAAATACACATCTCTTCAAACCTTCTACATAAAATAATCTTTCCATCTAGGTTGGCTCTACTGAATACATTTCTTTCTTTCTTTCTTTCTTTTTTTTGAGACAGAGTCCTGCTCTGTCACCCAGGCTGGAGTGCAGTGGCGCCATCTTGGCTCACACAACCTCTGCCTCCTGGGTTCAAGATTCTCCTGCCTCAGCCTCTCGAGTAGCTGGGACTGCAGGTGCGTGCCACCATGCCTGGCTAATTTTTGTATTTTTAGCAGAGACAGAGTATCCCCATGTTGGCCAGGTTGGTCTCGAACTCCTGACCTCGTGATCTGTCCACCTCAGCCTCCCAAAGTGCTGGAATTACAGGCATGAGCCACTGCGCCTGGCCCTGAATGCGTTTTTTTTAATTTAAATTTTAATTTTTTTGAGATGGAGTCTCGCTGCGACGCTCTAGCTGGAGTGCAATGGCACAGTCTCAGCTTACTGCACCCTCCTCCTCCTGTTTTCAAGCGATTCTCTTGCCTCGGCCTCCCAAGTAGCTGGGATTACAGGTGCAGGCACCACATCCGGCTAAGTTTTTGTATTTTTAGTAGAGATGGGGTTTCACCATGTTGGCCAGGCTGGTCTCGAACTCCTGACCTCAAGTGATCTGCCCGCCTCAGCCTCCCCAAAGTGCTGGGATTACAGGCGTGAGCCACTGCACCTGGCCTCTTACTTTTTTTTAATGATCATGTTTTATTTTGTCAAGACTAATTTTACTCAGAATTTTCCCTGTTATTAGACCTGTGGATTTTATGCTTTTTCACTGTTTCAAATTTGCTTGGGTGGGAGAATTGATGAGGGTATGGACAGGGATCAGGGAAAAGGACAGGGAATCAGCTTGCTGATACCAAAGCAACAGCCAATGTACTGTTCGTATTTTTAAACAGGAACAAGGTTCTCGTGTGTCCCATGAAATCTGCTCCTGTCATGTTGACCCTTTCAGATTCCAAACATGTTGTTCTGCCGGTGGACGATGACTCCGATTTGAACGTTGTGGCATCTTTTGATAGGCGAGGGGAATATATTTATACGGGAAACGCAAAAGGCAAGGTAAGCCTAAAAGCTGGCAAATCAGGCATCTTGTACACTGGCTCATTTAATGTTTACTTGTTTTGTTTCTTTTGAAAATTGTTTTTATTCTTGGACTAAGCACAGCTCCTTTCTGCAGCAAATGTAGTCTAATTTTCTTCCATCTCTTAATAATAATTTTTGTTCTTTGGATTTAGAGTGATAGAGATTATTTGACCTAGAAAAGCATGGGAGGACCTTTACTGGATGCTAGTAATGAAGGGCCATTATGAAATTATAAAATTTCAATGTCATGTTATCAGCTGGAACACTGCTGATCAAAATTTCTCAATATCTGGTTTTATAAAAGATTGTATAATTCAGGCCAGCTTAACTTACAGTACTGAGACTTATTCTTCTTTTTCCTTCAAACTTCTGACTTTGCCTTTTGGAATGTGTAGGCCCTTTTCTCTGGAATACATTGTAGAAGGTGTTTCTTCTGTGGAATAAGAAGTCAGGTTAGGTGACCTTTTAAAGATTCTTTTCATGCTTAGGATAGTTCCACTGGGCATCTTGATTTATTTTTATTTTTATTTTTTGACTGTGGCACATGGGTTAGTATAATTTCATGGCTATTTTAGAAAGGCAATTTTTCCTTTTTTTTTTTTTTTTTTTGAGATGGAGTCTCACTCTGTTGCCTAGGCTAAAGTGCAGTGCATGATCTCGGCTCACTGCAACCTCCATCTCCTGGGTTCAAGCGAATCTCCTGCCTCAGCCTCTTGAGTAGCTGGAATTACTCCTGACCTCAAGTGATCCGCCCACCTCAGCCTCCTAAAGTGCCGTGATTATAGGTGTGAGCCACTGCACCCGGCCTTAGAAAGGCAATTTTTTTTTTTTTTTTTGAGATGGAGTTTCGCTCTTGTTGTTGCCCAGGCTGGAGTGCAATGGCACCATCTCAGTTCACCGCAACCTCTCCCTCCCGGGTTCCAGCGATTCTCCTGCCTCAGCCTCCCGAGTAGCTGGGATTACAGGCATTCATCACCACACCTGGCTAATTTTGTATTTTTAGTAGAGACGGGGTCTCTCCATGTTGATCAGGCTGGTCTTGAACTCCCAACCTCAGGTGATCCACTTGCTTCAGCCTCCTAAAGTGCTGGGATTATAGGTGTGAACCACCGCGCCTGGCCTAGAAAGTTGATTTTTAAGAAATTGTGATAAAATACACACAGCATAAATTTTACCATTTCAGCCATATTTAACTGTACAGTTCAGTGGTAATTAATGTACATTCACTCTATTGTGCAATGATCACCATCCATCTTTAGAAATCTTTTCTTCTTGTAAAACTGGAATTCTGTACCTATTGAATCATAATTTCCCATTCCCTGCTCTCCGCCAGCCCCTAGAAACACCCTTTGACCTTCTCTCTTTATGAATTTGACTACTCCAGGTACCTCATATAAGGGGAATCATATAGTATTTGCCCTTTTGTGACTGGCTTATTTCACTTAGTTTCATGTCCTCAAGCTTCACCCATGTGTGTAGCATGTGTCAGAATCTTTCTCCTTCTTCTCAAGGCTCAATAATACTCCATTTTATGTTTATACCACTTTTGTTTATATGGCTTATCTGTGGATACTTGGGTTGCTTCTATATTTTGGTTATTGTGAATAATGCTAAACATCATATTTTAAGAATAGATTGGCCAGGCGTGGTGGTGAATGCCTGTAATCCCAGCACTTTGGGAGGCCGAGGTGGGCGGATCACCTGAGGTTGGGAGTTTGAGACCAGCCTGACCAACATGAAGAAACCCTGTCTCTACTAAAAATACAAAATTAGCCAGGCGTCGTGGCGCATGCGTGTAATCCCAGCTACTCAGGAGGCTGAGGCAGGAGAATTGCTTGAACCCAGGAGGCAGAGGTTGCAGTGAGCCGAGATTGCACCATTGCACTCCAGCCTGGGCAACAAGAGCGAAACTCCGTTTCAAAAAAAAAAAAAAAAAAAGACTAGATTAAGACCTTGTCTTACTTAAGGAAGCAAAACAGCAATACCAGTTAATCAGGTCAAATATATGGGAATAGAGACATTTGCATTTTTACCCAGTCTTTACGCAGTATTAGAAACAAGCCAAATCAATTATTGTTAGTTATTGGAACACTTACTTTTTTCCCCCCTCCTTTAAACTTTAGATTTTGGTCCTAAAAACAGATTCTCAGGATCTTGTTGCTTCCTTCAGAGTGACAACTGGAACAAGCAATACCACAGCCATTAAGTCAATTGAGTTTGCCCGGAAGGGGAGGTGAGTGAGATCTTACCTTTTAAGGGACAGTTTTAAGAGTGAATAGAATGCAAAAATACATGGAGATTTGCAGTTTTCATGTATATTATACTTAAGCATTTTTTAAAAATGTACTTAAGGTTTTTAGAAACTTACAATATCTGGTTTTCGAGTTCATAACATTTCCTGCCGTAGTTACATCTTCCTTATCTGGAGGTTATCAGGCGGTTACTTTACAGAAAAATAAGTAAGTGGTCAGTGCTTAAAACCAAAATGCCTGGCATATAGTAAGCACTGGGTATATATTAACTTATTATCATCAGGACTGATGTCATCAAATTCACATTGTAACTGAATACTGCCTATTTACCCTTTTAATTTTGGATGTTATTCTGGTAGGTTTGGTTACCTAGTTAGAAGTCGTAGAATATATCAACAGAAATAGGAAATACGTTGTCAGTAAGAGGTAATAGTCCTCCTATTTTGTTTAGGAACACCCATACATGACTTAGAGCAGGGGTCCCCAACCCCCAGGCCACAGACCAGTATTGGCCTGTTAGGAACCCTGCCACACAGCTGGAGGTGAGCATTACCACCTGAGCTCTGCCTCCTGTCAGATCAGCAGCAGCATTAGATTCTCATAGGAGCACGGACCCTATTTTGAACTGCACATGTGAGGGATCTAGGTTGTACACTCCTTATGAGAATCTAATGCCTGATGATCTGAGGTGGAACAGTATCATCCTGAAACCATAATCCTCCCACCAGCCTGGGCCGTGGAAAAATTGTCTTCCACAAAACCAGTCCCTGGTGCCAAAAATGTTGGGGACAGCTGACTTAGAGGATATTAATGTTCAAAATTCTCTTGAATTAAGAAAAGGTTATAGTCAGTGAAGTCTGCAAGAAAGTGATGAAATAACTAATATTTCATACAGATTTCTAAGATTTTCAATGTCATTACAGTAAAAATGACATTTTAAAATGACATATTTAGTTTATTACCTCATTTAAAAAATATATATTATGTGTAAAACAGGCCAGAGAGATGAAGTATTTATATCCATTTCACTGTAAACTTGGGAATTTAGGAAGCTGGTTTCAGTAGAGAGGTCTTGGAACTTAGTTAATGCTGACAATTTGTATATTTTGGGTTCAGGGATACACAGGAAGTATAAAACATATTCCCACTTAAAATTGTATTTTGGTTTGGGAGATGACAAGTAGATATATAAATATTCTAGTCTATTACTTTGATTTTTCCTCAATTCTTCCCTAGTTTATTAGTCGTTTTGTAGTACTAAGGAACAGATTTCTGACCTCTGGTGTTGATATTTTTATCCTTCCCGTAGTTGCTTTTTAATTAACACGGCAGATCGAATAATCAGAGTTTATGATGGCAGAGAAATCTTAACATGTGGAAGAGATGGAGAGCCTGAACCTATGCAGAAATTGCAGGATTTGGTGAATAGGTATGTATCACAACCTAGAAGAATATGTGATCATTCATGACCTGGGCTTGAGTTCCAGCTCTCCTTGGTACTTTCCTTGTCCTTTAGGACCCCATGGAAGAAATGTTGTTTCTCTGGGGATGGGGAATACATCGTGGCAGGTTCTGCCCGGCAGCATGCCCTGTACATCTGGGAGAAGAGCATTGGCAACCTGGTGAAGATTCTCCATGGGACGAGAGGAGAACTCCTCTTGGATGTAGCTGTGAGTACATTAGGACATTGCTTTTGTTAGTCACATAATCCAAAAAATCTAAAATCTGTTCTTAACAACCTGTTTTTCTTTCCTTCACTAAAATTTAGTGGCATCCTGTTCGACCCATCATAGCATCCATTTCCAGTGGAGTGGTATCTATCTGGGCACAGAATCAAGTAGTAAGTATTCTATTTTACTTGCTTCGAAACTAGTTACCCCTTCTTTTTATCAAAGAACCTTATACATAGGAAGCTAAAAATTACATTTTTATTTTCTTTTGCATATGATTCTCGCAACCTAAATTACATAGGTTCAGTGCATCTAGTTGCACTTTATTTTGGTGGGAAGGTCTTGGTCCCAAGTTGGTTTTCTGGCTCTTTTCAGGGAGAAACTCTATTGAACTTTCTGTTGCATTTTTCTATTATTTATTTGAGATAACATTTTTCTTTTGCTTTTCTTACTTTCAGCTCAGTTTCTGTTTTACATCTTAATTTTACTTTGAACACCTTTAAATTATGTTTGTAATCAGTGTACTTACAAGAAAATTTAACATTTTACCTCTAAATTCCTAAAATGACCAAAGAAGGCAGTGATTCAAAAGAGCTACAGTTAATAACTTAGCTTATCTTAATGTTTAAGATAGAAAATACCTAAGCTAGTAAAACTTACAGATACCCATTTTTTTCTTGTCTGCCAAATTTAATCTAAGAATTGTGAATTCCTTTCATGCTCACATCTTTCATTTTATCATTAATGTGTAGATTACAGATTATTGCTTTCACATATGGTTAAGTAGTATATCTTGTTGTATAGGAAAACTGGAGTGCATTTGCACCAGACTTCAAAGAATTGGATGAAAATGTAGAATACGAAGAAAGGGAATCAGAGTTTGATATTGAAGATGAAGATAAGAGTGAGCCTGAGCAGACAGGTACTATTTCTAAATTGCAGACAGGATTTCCTAAAGGGAAAATGATTGCTTTACTTAATATTCTTCATTTGTGTTGTAAATTTATTTCAGCACTTCATCTAAAATGCCCCCCTCCACCCCACACTTTTTTTTTTTTTTTTTTTTGAGATGGAATTTCGCTCTTGTCACCCAGGCTGGATGCAATGATGTGATTTTGGCTCACTGCAACCTCTGCCCCCTGGGTTCAAGTGATTCTCCTGCCTCAGCCTCCCGAGTAGCTGGGATTACAGGTGCCTGCCACCACTCCCAGCGAATTTTTTGTATTTTTAGTAGAGATGGGGTTTCCCCATGTTGGCCAGGCTGGTCTGGAACTCCTGACCTCAGGTGATCCACCCACTTTGGCCTCCCAAAGTGCTGCCATTACAGACATGAGCCACTGTGCCTGGCCTATGAACCACTGTGCCTGGCCTTCTTTTTTCTTTAAGCTTACACAATTTCCACAGTATTTGGAGAGCCTTAATTTATAAGGTGTTTACTAAGGGCTTATATGGGTATTACCAGGGCTCAAGCAGCTCTCTTAACATATCATTGTGTATTTCCTGATTAATTGCAGATGACTAAGTGAGGACATACATGCAGCACCTAGCAAAGAACTCACCATGCTAAGAGTGCTCAGCTTTTCCCATGTATTCTGTCACTCCTTTGTCAGTAAGAGAAGGGTCAAGAACCTGGGCTCTGAAGTCAGACTGCCTTGGGCAAAATACTGCTTAAACTGAATTTCCTCATCTGTAAAATAGGGACAGTAATAGTACCTGCTTTTTAGGGTTGTGGGGAGTAAGTGAAATAATTCATGTAAAGCATTTAATATATGCCTAGGCCATAATAAGCACTAAGATATTAATTTCCATTATGATTATGACTGTGATTTTATCTCTTCTGAATTTCTAGATAGGAGCTCCTTGAGAATAAAGATTTGACTTTTTAATCCCCGTGGTGTCTAACACAGGGCTTTATAACATAGTAAGGTTTGTGCGGGTGAATGCTTAGGATGCCCAGTTGGCACTGTCAGTGAGTAATTAATGCCACAGATTATTGACCCCCGAGATACTTGATGGTGCCAGGAATCAGGATTGGGAATGAGGTTGATTCTGTTTAGTGTCAAAGTGCTGGTCCTCACTTTTGTGATATTAGATAACTTGCATGCCTAATGTGTTTTAGGAGGACCTCCAGGGAAGTAGAATGTTCTAGATTATAGGGTTATGTTCTGTCAAACCTTCCCAGATTTCCACATAAATTGTTCCTCCTTCCCATATCCTGAGCAAGTTACACATACCATTACTGTATTAAATTGAAACTGTCTCTCTGTCTCCCCAGTTAGACTATAAACCTTTTACTGAAGAGCTGTTCCCAACTTTTTCTGGGTCATTGCACTATTTTCAGTGCCTAGGATAGGGTGGAAATTCAGCACATATTTGTTAAATGATTAAGTGAAGTGAACTGTTTGGTTTTCCTCCTTTGTTTCTCTGGAATTTCAACTTATGAAAACCTTGAAGCTGCAAATAAAAAGCAGTTTTTCACTTCTTCTCAAACATCTCCTGTGTTTCTGTCCTGCAGGGGCTGATGCTGCAGAAGATGAGGAAGTGGATGTCACCAGCGTGGACCCTATTGCTGCCTTCTGTAGCAGGTGAGCCGGCCCGGAAGGCTGGGCACCTTGGCTACTGCTGCTCCTGGCCTCTGGGGGAGTACTCTGCAGTTTCCCTGGCTATCCCTTCATTCCCGTCTGCTTATTAGCTAAAAGAGATAACTCGTTTGGTGTACAAGAAATCCAATGTAGCCTTTCTTCTCTAGTCCTATGTTCCTTTCACTTCTCCCTGATAGAGAATTTTAAGGAACCAAAATAATTCATTTATCCTGTTTATTTTTATCACCAATTTTATCAATTACATTGTTTGATTCCCTTTTATTCTTCTTGGCTTTCTTAAAGTTCTAGATCCATACCTGTTGCTTATGCTTAATATAGGTGATAGAGGAAGGGCTCATGGTTTAAGCAACTATCTCCTCTTTTTTCCAATCCCTTGTCTGATCCTGCTCCAAATAGTGATGAAGAGCTGGAAGATTCAAAGGCTCTATTGTATTTACCCATTGCCCCTGAGGTAGAAGACCCAGAAGAAAATCCTTACGGCCCCCCACCGGATGCAGTCCAAACCTCCTTGATGGATGAAGGGGCTAGTTCAGAGAAGAAGAGGCAGTCCTCAGCAGATGGGTCCCAGCCACCTAAGAAGAAACCCAAAACAACCAATATAGAACTTCAAGGAGTACCAAATGATGGTAAGAGCTACATCTTCTCCCTCTGGCCTGGCAGACGCCACTTTCTACTCACTCCCCAGCGCAACCTGGTAATTTCCTGTTTGAGCGATTTCACCTTAGAGGAATTTTCCCATGAGTCTGTTTTATAGTGTTTTACAACTTTATAATGATTGCGTCTGTGTTCACTTCTCTCTTAAAATGGAGAAATTCTGCCCTTCAGTACTTTGCCTAAGATGCTGCACTTTAATTCTTCTGACAGCCGGCTCAGAGTTTATTATACCATTCTTCTTTTAAATGTTTCCCCGTAGAGTGGTTTTATTAGATGTAAAATACTAGTTAGACTTGGACAATCATTTCATCCTTCCTGCCACCTTTTAGAGTCTGACTTGGGAAGCCTTTATTATCATGTCTTGGGATAAGTAGGGATGGATGGGGGTGTGTGTTTACCATTGAGCATCCTTCTTCCTCTTCTCTTTTATTTTTATTTATTTTATTTTATTTTATTTTTTTGAGACAGGGTCTCGCTCTGTTGCCCAGGCTGCAGTGCAGTGGCATGATCTTGGTTCACTGCAACCTCCGCCTCCCGGGTTCAATCAATTCTCCTGCCTCAGCCTCCCGAGTAGCTGGGACTACAGGCATGCACCACCACGCCTGGCTAATTTTCATATTTTTAGTAGAGGTGGGGTTTTGCCGTGTTGGCCAGGCTGGTCTCGAACTCCAGACCTCAAGTGATCCGCCTGCCTCGGCCTCCCTAAGTGCTGGGATTACAGGCGTGAACCACTGCGCCCGGCCCTTCCTCTTCTCTTTTAGCTAACTGCAGATCACATTTTGCAACTACTTATTTTCCTGATGCTATCGATTTCTGTGTCTACTCTGTTTCAGACACTGTTTGGTATATGTACCATTGCTGACTTTTACATCAACCCTGCAAGTTGTTTTACCTGCTTTTTAAAGGAGAAAATTTAGGCTGAGGTTATGTGTAAGAGGTTCTGTAAACTTGCCTAAAGTCTCACAGAAGTGGTGGGGTCAGGATTCTCATTCTAGTCTCTCTAGTTCCAAAGTCCATTCTCTTTCTGCTCTCACATGCCTCTCTGTGTATGTGTGTGTGCATCTGTGTGTGTTCCTTCTTCTGGCTTGGTTTGATAGTATTAGTGCATCTTTCAGCTACTTGTTCAGTTTAGAGTTACTGTGGCTTGGCATGAACATATAAGCCAGGGGTGTCCAATCTTTGACTTCCCTGGGCCACATTGGAAGAATAATTGTCTTGGGCCACATATAAAATACACTAACAGTAATGATAGCTGATGAGATTTTTAAAAATTGCAAAAAAAACTCATAATGTTTTAAGAAAATTTATGAATTTGTGTTGGGCCACATTCAAAGCTGTCCTAGGCCGCATGTAGCCTGTGGGCCACAGATTGGACAAGCTTAATATAAGCCATGTGTGCCTTTTGGCCAAGGAACTATCTCTCATTTAATGACCACTGTTTTATACTTATAGAAATAAGACAAACTTTTCTCTTTATAATTATTAATTGATCTGGGACACAAAGCAACATTCTTTGCTCAACAAAGTTGTGGTTGGGGTGATGAGACTGGTGTCATGTGGATTCCTTTCCATGCCTGTCTGTCCTACAGAAGTCCATCCACTACTGGGTGTGAAGGGGGATGGCAAATCCAAGAAGAAGCAAGCAGGCCGGCCTAAAGGATCAAAAGGTAAAGAGAAAGATTCTCCATTTAAACCGAAACTCTACAAAGGGGACAGAGGTTTACCTCTGGAAGGATCAGCGAAGGGTAAAGTGCAGGCGGAACTCAGCCAGCCCTTGACAGGTAAGGACACATTGGGAGCATTGTCTGGCTTGCTTCGTGGCCTTGCTTTGTGTAGCCCTTGACTTCATTTAACTGCAACATTTTTTCCCCCTCTCTTCCCTCGTTTTTCCCAGCAGCAGATAATTTCTGAATTTTAAGCTGCTGCTAAGGGCAGGCTAAACCAGATTTGGCTTAATTCAGTGGCTCTTAACCTTGGGTCTGTAAATAGTTTTCAATAAATCTACATTCCCCTGATGTTATATGCAAAATATTATGTGAATATTTTTCTGGGGAAGATGTCCATAGCTTTCCTCAGATTCCTGTAGGAATTCATGACCCAAAGAAGGGTAAGAACCTCTGGTTTAATTCATTTCTTCATCCATATTTGCTCTTAGGTTTTTTGTTTGTTTTGTCTCAAAGAGCCAGACAAGTAGCCAGAAGTACAAGCTTGTTTTATATAGTCCTTGACTGGTTCACTGTGGCATCTTTTCTCTCCCTCTTCAAATTGTTCAAATCCCACAGGTAGTGCTTTCTCTCTCTTAGTATTCCAGAAGCAATAATGAAATTGTTAGTACCATCGTGTTAAGGAAGAAGATGGGGTTTGTTTTGGTTTTTGATTTTTTTCCAATATCTGAAAACAGGAGGAGATGATCAAAAAGACAGAAACTACAGTATCTGTGTAGTTTCTTAACACCTAAGCCTTTTGATACATAATATTTGAGTTTTCTCACTTTTATATTACTGAGGGATTTTTATTGGGGGACAGAAAACAATTTCTGTTTCTTACCAAATACTTGTGAGCCTAGGCTAATTGGTCTCTTGTTTAGAAAATGTTAATCAAATTAGAATCCATTTCTGTGTAAACATTGGGCTTTGGAAATTGTTTTTTTGCTTTATATAGAAGCACTGCTTTAGTTAATACAGTATTCTCAATTTTTTTGTGGCTAGTTTGGTAGACTCAAAGGTAGGATTGATAACGTATCAATGGTTGTATTCAGGCTCCCCCGACTTTAAAATTTTAATCTAAATGTGTGGACTAGAGTGCAAAACAGAATTCTTTGTTTAATTTATAACTTACATCATTTAATCATTGTCTGTAAACATGAATTCTCTTACAGAGAAGCTGAAATAGACAGTTATTCATCATTTTGAGTATTCCATCTCGAGTTTACTAGATTTAGACTTTAGTTTTTGATAGCCCAACACCATACCACTGAGTACCAATATTTTTTTCCCGACAACATTTATGGTGGTGCACTGATGGTTACCACGTCCACATTCAACCCACCTAAGGCTGTGTTTGTGTATATATACATATAATGCTGTGTGTGTGTGTGTGTGTGTGTGTGTGTGTGTGTGTATATATATATATATATATATATATATATATATATATATATATATATATATATATTTTTTTTTTTTTTTTTTTTTTGAAACGGAGTTTCACTCTTGTCCCCAGGCTGAATTGCAGTGGTGCGATCTCAGCTCACTGCAACCTCTGCCTCCTGGTTCAAGTGATTCTCTTGCCTAGCTTCCTGAGTAGCTGGGATTACAGGCGTGCACCACCATGCTTGGCTAATTTTGTGTTTTTTTAGTAGAGACGGGGTTTCACTATGTTGGTCAGGCTGATCTTGAACTCCTGACCTCAAGTGATCCACCCACCTCAGCTTCCCAGAGTACTGGGATTACAGGTGTGAGCTATCACGCCCGGCATGTTTGTATATATTGTAAAGTAGCCTGGAGCAGTCGTGGGCATTGCCAACAAAGATTGCAGAATGACTAGATGTAAATAAGAGCAATCCTTCCAAACCCACTTCTTGCACACACTGATGCCACTACAGAAGAAACGCAATTTAAAGTTTAAATAGATTTCCCTGGCCTGGAGAGCTAAAATATTTTAAGGGTGATTTAAAATGTGGCCAAACATAATTAATTAAAACACTTTAGGACATAATCTCCTAGCTTCTTAAAACGTGTCTATCCCTAATCATGTGCTTTTCAAAAGGAAATTATGGTAAATAAGGCTCACGCCTGTAATTCTAGCACTTTGGGAGGTTGAGGCAGAAGGATTTCTTGAGCCCAGGAGTTCAAGACCAGCCTGGGCAACATGGTGAGACCCCATCTATGTAAAAGCCAATCAAACAAACAAGAAAAAACCTTGAGCTGGGTGCAGTGGCTCATGCCTATAATCCCAGCACTTTGAGAGGCCAAGACAGGAGGATTGCTTGAGCCCAGGAGTTTGAGACCAGCCTGGGAAACAAAATAATCAAAAAATTAGCCAGGCGTGGTGGTGCACATCTGTGGTCCACCTGGTAACATAGGAAGCTGAGGCAGGAGGATCGCTTGAGCCCAGGAGTTTGATATTGCAGTGAGCTATGATCACGCCGTTGCACTCCAGCCTGGGTAACAGAGTGAGACCCTGTCTCAAACAAAAATAAAACCAGCCAGGTGCAATGGCTCACACCTGTAATCCCAGCACTTGGGGAGGCTGAGGCGGTCAGATTGCTTGAGCCCAGGAATTCGAGACAAGCCTGGGCAACATAGTGAGACCCTGTCTCTACAAAAGAAAAAAATAATTAAAAAACAACCCAAAAACCTCAAAGGGGCATTGAGGTATAGTTCCAAGACTTCCACAGAAGGATTACATCTGGCTTTATTGACCAGCTGCAGAGTGGTTTGGATCTTTGTGAAGGTTGAAAATTTTGGGGAGAGTGATGAAATTGGATATCACAGATAATTCCATCAAAAGTCTGTTTTAGGGCAACCTATCATGTTTTTATATGGGATTGTTTGGGTGAGGGTAGGGCTTTATCCAGTAACGTGGTCGTCTTGGAGGGCTCTGAGCAAGCTAAGTCAGACTGGTACCTGCTGCTGATTTGCATATGGCCCATCAAGACCACTCAGGGAAACTCTGGCATTTGGATCTCATATTCTTCCACACCTTGGAGATTTTCAGTAAAAGCCAATATATAGTTATTGTAGATTTTCCACCAGGTATTAAGAAAGGAAACCTGATGCAAAACTTCTGAGGCCAAACCATCTTCAAAAATCACTCCGGTCTGAGGGTTGTATGTGTAGATTCAAGGTTTTGGCCCCCTGCCCCATGGACAACTTCAGCATTTGAGTCAAATCATTTGAAGGTAGGATTATAGTTGTAGGCTGTGTTACTACCCAAGTTAGATGAATGACAACTGTTTGTTAATATCTGTAGTTGACCAGTTACTGTAGAAACTGTTCCATAAACTGATTAGCCCTAACAAAACTACCATAGTCTGTTGTCTGTTGCAACAGGAGAGTATGCATTTCAAGGGAAAATTGGCAGAGAGACCACTATAGAGATAATCTGGCCATCTGGAATCTGGGGCTATAGAAAATTGTTTCCTGTCAAACAGCTTGTCAGTGTTGGCTAGCACTAGAGGGCCCACATTCATGTGGACATTTTTCTATGTGAATGAGGACCCAAAGTGAAGCTTGGTGAGGGTAACCCTGAGCTTGGGACTTTTGGGAAGGACCAGGCTAACATAGTCTGCGCTATCTATCAAATGCTTCTTAGTTACTTTAAATACTCTCCAGAGGACAGTCCTGAGACCAGAAACTTGAGATGTGAGCAGAATCACCAGTCCTAGTTGTCTGTGATTGCTCAAGGATTGCCCAAGAGCTAGGGCTCCTTGGCAGTAAAAACATCAGTAATAAAGTGGGACAAAGGTGTGGTCGGTTACATACACGTTCTAAAGGCCTCATGGGATGGTAGACATGAAGGGGTTGGTGCACACCTGGGTCTGTTGGAGATGGCAAGGGCCAAAGTGAGCAGAAGCGACATTTCTGGGAGTGGACAGGCACCATGCAGATTTCCCTGTCTTGGGCTGCGCTACACCACTGCCCTGGTGCCAGCCCATCACCCTAAGGCTCTGAACCACCTCCAAGTCACTTACTGAATCTGTGATTTTTTTTTTTTTAATGCTTGGTAGTTTTGTTTTCTTTTTTTCTCTCTTTGTTTTTCTCTCCCCTCCCTCCCTCCTTTCCTTCTTTTCCTTCCTTTCCTTGTGAAGACTAATTTATGAATTCCTGCTAGAATCAAGGTAGTCTTTCTCACTCTGTGGGATGTTATTAACTAACTAAGGTAGGGTTTGAAATCATGATTCAGTGTTCTCTTAGGCCAACCTAGATTGGGCTGCTACTGGAAAGTACCAATAATAGCTGGTCATTTTGAGCTGAATTTTCCTACCTGTTACATTACTGGAGATTTCCTTTATGTTGTAGCTAAATAATATGTTTCCTTGGGGGCAGTTGCTGCGTCAGGTCTTTAAATTGGCTGGAGTCTTCTATATTGCTAGTTCTGTGTATCTTATCTTGCTCATAGTACTGCTTGCTCTGGTTTTGATTTGTTGCCTGATGCCTCAACAAGCTTTTGTTTTGTTTGACTTTTATTTATTTATTTTGTCTATTCAGAAAAACAAGGACGGTATAGAAACATGAGCTGCCCTCCAGTATAAGGTAGCTCATTAGTCATCTTGAGTGCCTATTACTAATGCTGTTGATTAGTGATCAAGCCACTTTCTCCTATTATGATTTAGGTTTAAAATGGCAATGTTGTATTCATTTTTAGATGATTACCACTAAATTGGTCAGGGTACCTGTGGGAATAGTTGGTGAAAATTGCCTTAAAGTGGTAAGGCATGATATTGAGTCTTGTGGAGTGGATTTTTCTATCACAGGAAGTTTTTTAAAAATCAATGTAGCTGGGCACAGTGGCTCACGCTTGTAATCCCAGCACTTTGGGAGTCCGAGGCGGGTGGATCACTCGAGGACAGGAGTTCAAGCCCAGTCTGGCCAACATGGTGAAACCCCGTCTCTATTAAAAATACAAAACAATTAGCCAGGCATGGTGGTGGGCGCCTATAATCCCAGCTACTTAGGAGGTTGAGGCAGGAGAATCGTTTGAACCCAGGAGGCGGAGGTTGCAGTGAGCTGAGATCACGCCATTGCAATCCAGCCTGGGCAACAAGAGTGAAACTCTGTCTAAAAAAATAAAAATAAATAAAATAAATAAAAAATCAATGCAAGGAATTCATTGTGATTTATGTTGAGAGAGATCTGAAAAACCATTGCTAAGTAAGCTTTTAATCTGACTGAACTATGGAAAAGTTTAAATTTGATTTTTAACAGCATAACATTCAGTAGAAAGTTTGTATCTCATTGTAACTTTAGTCTGTTCTCAGGCACATGTGAATATATTTTTATTGCCAGTTTTCATTTGTGCAGGAACTTCAAAAATCAAAGTTATATAAATGGGTACTTTTCTTTCATAGTTTGGGCGATTATTTTTTAACCATTATACCTTCAAGTGGCATGCTCTCTGCCATTCCAAATGACACCTGGGAGGATTTTCTTCACCTTCTTCTCTTTTTACACTTCCTAGTTAATATTTCACAGCAGCTCATTTAACGATGTCTCTCAGAGGTTGAGCAGCTTCTATGGAATAATCAGGGAAGTGTTCATTTCATTGTACTATTCAGGATATTATTTATCGATCATTGTTGGTGTATAGCAATGTAGACAGTAGCTCTCACGAACATTTCACCATATTTGGGATTCTAAGGTGATAAGTATGTCACTTAAGGAACTGTGGTGCTGGGAAAAGGGTTTCTTGCTCACTTGTTAATCATTTAGTGACTAATCAATCTTTAAAATATATGAAGGGTTGAAAGGTGTGGTACCCTAAAATTTCTTCTCCTCTCCTCATTGCACTTTTTGGAATGTTAAACATTATTTGTTAGCACCTTAGAGCATGGTTAGCAGCTTAGAAAAAATAGAACTCTGATCATTTTGCTTTTCCCCCAACCCTTTGGGACAGTACTGAGGAAAGTATTGGGGTGGGGGGTTTGGATTTGGATTGTTTTTTGTTCAATAAAGAGTAATTGGGAGTTGGAGTTGGTTATGTATTTTCTTAAAAAGGGGAATTTCTTGGTCCACGTGTGCTTGTAATGCATCATCCAGCATTCAGTATTTCTGTTCTTACAAGTAACTGGTCTAAATTGAAGCTAAAAGAAATCTTTTTGTGTCTAATCTCTTTAGCAGGAGGAGCAATCTCAGAACTGTTATGAAGACCTTCGAAGTTCTTCATTCTTTCTCACTTTGCCATCATGTGGCCTCTGGACACTGTGGTCAGTCATTTGAAAATTGACTTTAATTTAAAACAAAGGCCTGTGCCTCCCACCCAGGAGGTGGGAGGGTGAATTTTATGTTTAAATGAAGAAGTGAATTATGGAAGAAGAGTATACGACCTTCCCTTCCCTTTCAAGCATAAGTCCAAATAGACTCTCAGGAATGAAGATTTGTGAAGACATCAGATAGGAATTTTGACTCATTTAAACTTTGATGCTTAGTTATGTTGCTGGAGAAAAGATACTTATGTTTTGCTCATCTAACTTCATTGTACCCAGCGTCATTTTGACATGTCATTTCCTATCTCCCATTTGCCTTCGGTCCTCAATGCATGTCTTTGAGTGACTTCTTATCTGAAATTTTGCTACTGGTATCCTAGGAAAGCTTTTGTTGGATACTCTCATTTTAAACTTCTCCTCTCCCCAGATACCTCCTATATTTCCATATTGTGTGCAAAGGATGGGCAGAAAAGAAAGTGCTTGAAAGATTTCAAATTTTCAGAAAGGGAACAACGAAGGCCCTCTCTTCCTCTCATACCACGTTTTGCTCAAGAAGCTGGGCTGTAACAATTCAGGGTTTTCCCTTGTTTTCCTCTCATTGCATGTTTCCCTCCAATATTGGTTCATTGTCATCAATCATGGTTTTTGAAGATAGCTAGTTTTATCCATCTCCAGCAAAGAATCATCAATAGTTTATATTGCTTTACCTGTGCTGGCTTCCAGAGATGGAAACAAACCCAGGTGTCTCTCAACAAGCTACTTTTTTACTGGGGTGGGGGAATCTATGCAAGGAGTAAAGTAAAACCATCCAGAATCAAAGCAGCAACCACATAGTTCAAATCAAAGATCAAGGTGAATTTTTTGTATCACTGCCTGTGGAAATCTATCCTCATCAGTCATTGCATTTTTCCCTGCCTATACCTGTGCTCCTTTTTCTTACTGTGTTTTCAGTCACTTCCTTTCTGTGAAAGGTTGCTTAGCTTTTTTTTTGACATTTGTTGTTCTTTATAAAAATAACAGATTGGATAGATGTGTACATTTGGTGTTTGAAATTCTCTGAAAATCCCATTAGGAAACCAGGTGTGAAAAGGGCTCAGTAGCTTCTCTGAGTGGCGTTTTTAGCTGACTGGAAGTGCTTAATCTGGATCGTCTTTTTTTTTTTTTTTTTTTTTTCAATATTTTAAAAGGAGAATTTAAATACTGTGCTTACTGTGAAATATATCAGTTGGTGAGCCGGGCGTGGTGGGTCACGCCTGTAATCCCAGCACTTTGGGAGGCCAAGGCGGGTTGATCACCCGAGGTCAGGAGTTCAAGACCAGCCTGGCCAACGTGGTGAAAGCCTGTATCTATTAAAAGACAAAAATTAGCTGGGCGTGGTAGTACATGCCTGTAATCCCAGCTACACTGGAGGCTGAGTCAGGAGAATCACTTGAACGTGGGAGGCAGAGGTTGCAGTGAGTGGAGATCGCACCACTGCCCTCCAGCCTAGGTGACAGAATGAGACTCTATCTCAAAAAAAAAAAAAAAATGATATCAGTTGGTGGATGCTCCTATAGGTAGCCAAACACATTGATTACCTGTTAGATTTTAGGATAGAAATCAAAGTAGAGCACGTCAGCAAGAGCCTCTTTGTCTCACTCCATCATTTAAAACCAGTATATTCAGTAGTTGAAGAAAGAGCTCTCCCTGAGTCAGTTGCAAAACGTCTATATTTTTAGATGCCACTACTTTTTTCTTAAATATTCATTTTGAGACTGTCATGAGTTAGACCAGTGGTTGAGATTAGTAGATGGCTCACTAGACATGTTTTTGTTTTGCAGACATTATATCCATTCCAGTCCTCTGCACTGTACACTGCAGCAGTGTGCAAACTATGGGACTTAGAGGGTTTCTGCCATCTTTCCACGTGTGAAGTAGCTTGGTTTCCTCTGCCTGTGCATTTGGATGTTTGTGCTATGTCCACCTCCTAAACTGGCTACTGAGAAAATCATCTTCAGCCCTGTCAGATTGTCTCTGGCAGTAGCTCCTAATAATTATTTATGTTTTTGGAATTTTTTTTTCAACTTTTAAAAAACCTTCTATCCATTTCAATTTGAATTATTTGATTTGTACAATATATGTATATTCTCTTCTTCCTTTTTGTCATCCCTGCCCTGCCACCCCCAAAATTTTGTTTTTAAAAATATTCTGGGCTGGGCATGGTGGCTCACACCTGTAATCCCAGCACTTGGGGAGGCCGAGGCTGGTGGATCATCTGAGGTCAGGTGTTTGAGACCAGCCTGGTCAACATGGTGAAACCCCGTCTCTACTAAAAATACAAAAATTAGCTGGGCGTGGTGGCGGGCACCTGTAATCCTAGCTACTCGGGAGGCTGAGGCAGGAGAATTGCTTGAATCCAGGAGGCAGAGGTTGCAGTGAGCTGAGATTGCGCCACTGCACTCCAGCCTGGGTGACAGAGCAAGACTCCATCTCAAAAAAAAAAAAAAAAAAAAATCTGTAGTTTTGTACAAGATGAGACTTAGCCTTGGGTACTTCTTGCTGAAGCTTTAATGCTTTGTAAATAAAATCGGATGTTTATTAAAGAACAGGTGTAGATGTTTATTTGTAAACACTGCTCACTTCTGGAACTCTCTGGCCACTTTGCTTTAGTACAAAGGAAAGTGTGATTTCCTGTGTTGATACTAGATCTTTCAGTGTGGAAAGATAGATCTGGAAGGGGTAGGGAGTGGACAGGTAGTCTAGATTTCTGCCTCTAGATGAGATTGTAAATAAATGATGCAAGTGGAAAAGTTGTTGATCAAAAAGATCATCTAGGAATGATCTGTCTTCCAATTATTTAACTCAATATAGTTTTGCAATTACTCTGAAGAGGCCGTAGGGCTAGGCATTCTGGAGGTTACAAAAATGCATGCTAGGAAGTTCCTGTCTTCCAAGGACCTTTCTTCAAGTCTAAGTAAGTACGGTTGAATTCTTATTAGCCTTTTTTTTTTTTTGAATGAAGCAGCTTTAAAATTTATTAAATGCTCGTTGTCTCCTAAAGATAAGATGTTTCACAAAGTCTATGTAAGTCTTTGATTTTAATGTCAAATTTGAGGGTCTACTTATTAATCTTATGTGATTGAGAACTCCATCTTTGACATCATAGCTGTTTCATAGCAACCTTGACCTACGTGAATAATGAGCTCTATTCTGTAGGATAAAGGGAGTAGGCCAAGAGTCAGGGAGCATCATGCATCCTCTCACTCAAAATATATCTTCAGTATCCTTGGGAAGGAAGAGTGCCTAAAAGGGGGAGAGGAGCTGCCTTTAACACAACCTTAAACATTCTGATTTGAAAAGGTCATCTTGGCCCTTGTCTTTATGAATTTCCATTTCTATTTAAAATTCCTTACACATTGAACAGTGTTTCACACTTTACAAAGTGTTCTCACATACAGTATATCATTCAGTGCTCTAAGTGACCTTCCTCAGATAGGCAAGGAGGTCTTAAGTTACAAAGGAGGAAACAGAAATTCAGGAAGGGTAAGTTACTTGCCTCCTAGTCCAGAGTTCTTAATCCTTTTTATAGGAAGTTTAGGAACATTAAAATAATTCAAGTTAATCTTCCTTTTTTTAGACTTTAGTATTTGTTTTATTTGGTGACATTTAACTGGGGCTTTTGAAACCCTTAATTTAGATCCTAGTTTATAGAGGGGAAGGGGAAGGGTGAGGAAGAGTGTAACTTCACTATGCATTTGAGGTAATCTGGAAATTTACTTCAGTTTCTGAAGTCTTTTCTTCTTTGTCTTCCCAAGAGGTGGATTTAAAGTCATTAAGAGAACACGAAAACGGCCAGCGCGGTGGCTCATGCCTGTAATCCCAGCACTTTGGGGGGCTGAGGTGGGTGAATTGCTTGAACCCAGGAGTTGGAGACAAGCCTCGACAACATGGTGAAACCCCGTATCTACAAAAAATAGAAAAATTAGCCAGGTGTGATAGCCTGCACCTGTAGTCCCAGCTACCTAGGAGGCTGAGGTGGCAGGATCACTTGAGCCTAGGAGGTTGAGGCTGCAGTGAGCTGTGATCATGTTACTGCACTCCAGCCTGGGTTGACAGTGAGGCCCTGCCTCAAAAAAAAAAAAAAAAAAAAAAAGCGTGAAGACTAGTAGGTAAGGTGGTTATTTTATTAACAACGATAGTTAGTAAAGCAACACCATTGTGATTTTTTTCCTGCCTTGTGGCCTCACCTGTTTATAAGGACTGGACTTTTATTTATTAAGTTGTGTTGTTTTATTGACAATACATGCATCATATCTTTTGACTTTGAAGGATATCTCATGTCAAAGGAATCAAGTTATGATTTATAGAGGATTCAGCTGGAATACCTTGTGGGTGCTGGCTGAGGGTGGCAAAACGCCTACCGAGACATGAAGGTTTTAGCCACTAGTTTTGTCCTTGGGAGCCTGGGGTTGGCCTTCTACCTGCCTTTGGTGGTGACTACACCTAAAACACTGGCCATCCCTGAGAAGCTGCAAGAAGCTGTGGGGAAAGTTATCATCAATGCCACAACCTGTACTGTCACCTGTGGCCTTGGCTATAAGGAGGAGACCGTCTGTGAGGTGGGCCCTGATGGAGTGAGAAGGAAATGTCAGACTCGGCGCTTAGAATGTCTGACCAACTGGATCTGTGGGATGCTCCATTTCACCATTCTCATTGGCAAGGAATTTGAGCTTAGCTGTCTGAGTTCAGACATCTTGGAGTTTGGACAGGAAGCTTTCCGGTTCACCTGGAGACTTGCTCGAGGTGTCATCTCCACTGACGATGAGGTCTTCAAACCCTTTCAAGCCAACTCCCACTTTGTGAAGTTTAAATATGCTCAGGAGTATGACTCTGGGACATATCGCTGTGATGTGCAGCTGGTAAAAAACTTGAGACTCGTCAAGAGGCTCTATTTTGGGTTGAGGGTCCTTCCTCCTAACTTGGTGAATCTGAATTTCCATCAGTCACTTACTGAGGATCAGAAGTTAATAGATGAGGGATTGGAAGTTAATCTGGACAGCTACTCCAAGCCTCACCACCCAAAGTGGAAAAAGAAGGTGGCGTCAGCCTTGGGAATAGGAATTGCCATTGGAGTGGTTGGTGGCGTGTTGGTGAGGATTGTCCTCTGTGCGCTAAGGGGGGGCCTGCAGCAGTGACAGCTTCAAGAACTTAACAGCCTTGCTCCTGAAGAACTGGCTGCCCAGGAAGCCAAGCTAGCTTTTTAGGGGAGTGTTCCAGCTGCTGGTAGTGGATCAGCTTAGAGGGAACACTCCCACAGCCAAAAGAATGAGTGGGAGAAATGGAGGGGACAATCTCCTGGGAGCTATGCGCAGTAACCTAACTTCCTTATGTCCCATGGATCTCTTCCTGATCTTCCCTGCCCATTGGGTACCCAGGAAACTGCAAGCATTGCCTGTGTTCCTGGGAAGAGTTCTAAGAAGCTTGCATTCATTTTCTACCCTTTATGACTTGGATGCCTCCCCACCTCCATTTCCCCTCTTCTGAGCTGTGTATTCATGTAGAGGGATGTATTCAGCCTTTTTAGTGAACATTTTTTTTCAATAAAAGTAATTCACAGTAGCTGTATGGAGACCTTTTTCTGCTCTTCAGTTTCTTGTATTTATTTAAATTGTCCCATAATCAGTCTGGCTTCATTTTCCTCAGGTTTCTTAGAATAGACATTAAA
Source organism: Homo sapiens (assembly GCF_000001405.40). Taxonomy (NCBI): domain Eukaryota; kingdom Metazoa; phylum Chordata; class Mammalia; order Primates; family Hominidae; genus Homo; species Homo sapiens. The sequence continues at coordinate 205,083,022 of NC_000001.11, read as the reverse complement.
CCAATTGTCTGCTTTTGGGGGCAGGGGGTGCAGTGCATAAGCCTATGGCAGGGGTTGTTAGTAATGACATCCAACTCAGGTGTGTAACAGTCACTAAATATTAACAAATTGCCTGTTCTGCCCAGGTAAATCCCCTGTTTGGTATTAAATTGAATTTCTTGGCAAAACACTAGATCCTTCACCTGGTAGGTTTCCTCTTACCATTCAGACAGCACCTTGGCTTGCCTCCACTCCAGTCCTTTTAGCTCTTTCAGTGCCCTGAAGCTTCTATTCCTGGGAGGGTCAAGTATTGGTTTCTTACAGCAGCCAAGGCCCCCAAAGGAGGATTAGTACTTTGATTCCTCCATAGGAAATCCAGTCTTAAGACTCCGAGGCCATTCGGACCGTGTCTGAGATAATTGGCTTGTGGAACCATCAGGGAAAGACTCTTGGCCACCAGCTGAGCTAATTCTACTGAGAGAATTACAACATTTCTTCCTCTCACTTTTCTCTGACTACAGGAGGTAGCAGAAACCAAAGACCAGCGATTCTCTAGATGTGTGTTAGAATCATCTGGATGACCTTGTGAAAAATAAAGGTTCTTGAGCTCTAATCCTGACAATGCTAATTCAGTTTAAATTATGGTCAAAGGATCTCTATTATTTATTTTACTTTTAACTTGTAAAAATTTCAAACCCATAGAAAAGCTGAAAGAAATGTTTGGTGACCATGCATAGAACCTTTACCAAAATTCACCAGGAATTAACATTTTGTCACAATTATCTTTCTCAATATAGATTGATTTTGTTAAACCATTTGAAAGCTAGTCACAGACATTGCAACTCTTAACTCTTAAACCATGTATGCATCTCCTAATAAGGATGTTCTCTGTAACCACAATATCTTTATCACACTAAGAAAATTAACAATTTCTGGCCAGGCGCGGTGGCTCACGCCTGTAATCCCAGCACTTTGGGAGGACGAGGCGGGCAGATCACGAAGTCAGGAGATCGAGACCATCCCGGCTAACACGGTGAAACCCCGTCTCTACTGAAAGTACCAAAAATCAGCCTGGTGTGGTAGCGGGCGCCTGTAGTCCCAGCTACTCGGGAGGCTGAGGCAGGAGAATAGTGTGAACCCAGGAGGCGGAGCTTGCAGTGAGCTGAGATTGCGCCACTGCACTCCAGCCTGGGCGACAGTGCAAGACTCTGTCTCAAAAACAACAACAAAAAATTAACAATTTCTTTCTTTTCTTTTTTTTTTTTGAGACGGAGTTTTGTTCTTGTAGCCCAGGCTGGAGTGCAATGGTGTGATCTCAGCTCACTGTAACCTCTGCCTCCTAGGTTCAAGTGATTTTCCTGCCTCAGCCTCCTGAGTAGCTGGGATTACAGGTGCCTGCCACCATGCCTGGCTAATTTTTTTGTATTTTTAGTAGAGACGGGGTTTCGCCATGTTGGCCAGCCTGGTCAAACTCCTGACCTCAGATGATCCACCTGCCTCGGCCTCCCAAAGTGCTGGGATTACAGGTGTGAACCACTGGACCTGGCCAAAATTTAACAATTTCTTAATCTTATATAGTTTATACAAGTTGAGCATCCCAAGTATGAAAACCTGAAATCTGTAATGCTCCAAAACTTGAAACTTTTTGAGTACCAACATGGTGCTCAAAGGAAATGCTTATTGGAAGAGCTTAGATTTCGGATTTCTTGGATTTGGGATGCTTAACCTATAAGTATAATGCAAAGATGCCAAAATCTGAAAAAGTCTGAAATCTGGAACATGTCTGGTCCCAAACATTTTGGATAAGGGATACTCAGCCTGTATTCACTTCTCAATATCCAAAATCTTAACAGCTTTTTAATTTCATTTTTGATCCAGGATCAAATAGAAGTTCATGTGTTATGTTTCTCTTAAGTATCTTCTTTTACAACAGACCTCCTGCATTCCTTTGTCTTTCATGACATTGATTTCGTTGAATAATTTACTCCAGTTGTCTTAGATAAGATTCCATAATTTGTATTTGCCATTTCCTCATGAGTAGATTCATGAGGAATGAATCTTAAACATTTTTGACAAGAGCCCTATGTAGATATGTACTTAACTGCACCACATTACAAGGCTCATGTTTTTGTTTATGTTTTTGTTTTTTGAGATGGAGTCTTACTGTATCATCCAGACTAGAGTGCAGTGGTGCAATCTCGGCTCACTGTAACCTCTGCCTCCCGGGTTCAAGTGATTCTGATGCCTCAGCCTCCTGAGTAGCTGGGACTATAGGCATGTGCCACCACGCCTATAGATGGGGTTTCACCATGTTGGCCAGGCTGGTCTCAAACTCTTGACCTCAGGTGATCCGCCCACCTCGGCCTGTCAAAATGTTGGGATTACAAGCGTGAGCCACCGCGCCCAGCCAAGGTTGACCCACTATTGATAATAAGCTTGATCATTTGGTTAAGGTGGTGGATGGCCAGATCTCACCACCAATGTGTGTGTGTGTGTGTGTGTGTGTGTGTGTGTGTGTATTTTCCCCTTTGTAATTCATAGTCTGTGGGGTAATACTTTATGATTATATGGCTCTCCAAAAACTCTTCACATATTTTGGCATCCATTGTTTTTGCCTTGTTGAACATTACATGTTGGGGACTGCAAACTGGCAATTCTTTATGTTCATCTTACCTATATTAGCCTGCATTTCTCTGTAAAGAAGAGCTTACTCTTTTTACCCTCTTTATTTTTGAGGTCTCAATAGATTCTTCTTATTCAGTGAGCTATATATAATCCATTATCATTTTATCTTTTTTTTAACTTTTTAGGTTTAGGGGTACATGTGCAGGATTGTTGCATAGGTAAATTGCATGTCATGGGGGTTTGGTGTACAAATGATCATTATCTTGATGTTCAAATTGTCCCCAATTTTGGCCAGTAGGAGTCCCCTCAGGCAAGCTCTTTTGCCCTTTTGCTGTGGTTTTATTTGACATTGAGCATTTTCTTGCTTCTAGTACAACACGGTATCTCAGATTCACATTTGGACTCTCCTTGCCCCAAACCTGAATCTGGTCTTTCCCCAAGGAACCCTGGTTCCTCTTAGTGTGGGGAGTAGCATTGAGAAACCAAGGTTTGCATGTTGGGTGTGCTCATTGCTACTGGGGAGTCATTGCTCCTAGGCTGTCTCAGTGTCCTAGATGTATATCATGAGTTCAGAGCATCTTTGTTGTTTAAGGTTGTTAGGTGGTTCTGATATATGGCTAAGGTTGAGAACCACTGACTGAGGCCCAGGCATAGGGAGTCATTTTACTGTTGCTCTTATTTTAAAAAAGATCTTACATTTTACACGTACCCTTACCCCCATTCTGTTTACTTCAGAGGGGATAGATTTCAGAAGACCTGGGTTCTGGGCCTTGTTCTGCTGTTGATGGTGTAATGGGGCAAGCTACCTGACATCATCTTTGAAATAGGTGATTGTGAGGATCCAGTGAGATCCTGTGAGGTAAACTGAAGTACGGGACATGAGTTCAGGAATATTATTGATGAAGCATTCAGTACGGGACAACTTGCTGAGACATTCAGGAGATAGCTTGCTGTACTTTAAGCAAGCAGTCTTGACACTAGAAGACCATAAAATATCCTACTTTAATGAACTCAACATGACATTGCTGAGGAGGGAGGAAGACTGATGGGTACTATGTCCCATTTTCCAGATGGAGAGACTGAGTAACTTTTGCAGTCTTCTGTTGCAGCCAGTAGTCAAGCATGGGATGGACTATTGCACAGTTCTGGCATTATAACCCTCTATGCATTGGGCTCTTGAGTTTTGACTCCAAGGATGTGAAGGGATTGAGCAGAGAAGAGAACAAAAGATGCTCAGTTGTGTTAGTAAAGCAAAACCTGTTGAAGTCTGTGCAGGTAATCTACCTTTGCAGGGTCAAGGGGATGCTGACTGGACTAATATTTGGGTTTTAGAGTGGCTGGTGTTCCCACATCCCCTTTGGGGGCAAAGTGGAAGAGATGACCGTTTTGTGATATCATACTGGTGTCCGTACAGGCCCCTTCCGGAGGCTTGTTGTCAGCCTGGGCTTCCAGGCACACAGCTAATGAGTATTCAGGCCTCCATTCACCATCTCCCTCTTCGCTGAAAAAAGCTGGGGGCGTAGTCAGCATGGAGCCCTACCTGCTTTGCACTAAAAGACTCAAAACACAGAGTCGTGCAAGTGTATCTCCACACACATTTTCATCTGTAATAAAAGTTTGATAGGCCGGGCACGTGGCTCATGCCCATAATCCCAGCACTTTGGGAGGCCGAAGTGGGTGGATCACCTGAGGTCAGGAGTTGGAGACCAGCTTGGCCAACATGGTGAAACCCTGTCTCTACTAGAAAATACAAAAATTAGCCAGTTGTGGTGGCAGGTGCCTATAATCCCAGCTACTCAGGAGGCTGAAGCAGGAGAATCGCTTGAACCCAGGAGGTAGAGGTTGCAGCGAGCTGAGATTATGCCATTGCACTCCAGCCTGGGCGACAAGAGCGAAACTCTGTCTCAAAAAAAAAAAAGTTTGATAAATGGTTATCGAATGTGTGAGAAAGTGTGGCTGGAAAGTGACTAGTAATTCACACCCTTGTGGCTGCTGTGAACCAAGAGTAGAGGCAGCAGCCTCGTTCTCACCAGTTGGGTATCATTAATATATCTGCAGGGAGACTTTCCTTTGGGACCACTGAGTCAACACCTCAAAGATGTCTTAAAAATCAGGCCACCTTGAAGCAGTACCATCACATAAGCATTGTTTACTGCCACTGTATTAGGTAAAGCCAACTGATTCTAGCCAAATGCCTGCCTGTGCTCTGCTTGGACCTGCCTTAAGATCTTGGCCTAATTTTTCCCTCCTCCTGGGACTGGATGAAGCAATATAGACTGTATGTTGTAACTTACTTATATTTCACTGTGTGGGGGGTAAAGAAATTCTTGGATAAAAGCCTCTGGAGTGAAGAACAGGACAAGGAGGTATGCTTTAGCCTGATGATAACACCCACAGCTCGTGCCAGCTTCCCCAACAGGTTGAGAAACCATCTTTATTTAAGAACTGCCTGCTACCAGAGTCAATAAATAACTATCATTACAAGAAGTACAGGAGAGAAACAGTAGGCCAACGGGAGTGGTTCCATTTTAACAAACACTGAGTCAAGTCAGTGGTCTGATGAAGCCCTAGCATTTGCCAAGCTGTGAGCCTCTCTAAGCTGTGCAGGCCCTGGATGGGACGGGTAAGTTGGAGGAGTCTTGGGGCCGAGGCAAGATGTATCCCATCTAAGGGCACTAAGTGTCATAGGCCCCAAAGGCTGCCTGGGGCTGTGGCCAAAGCTATCTGACCCATTTTGTTTCTCTCATTTTCCTTTACGTCCTGTCTTCCCAAAGCCTATGACCATATACACAAGTCCACGGGTGTTCCGCAGCTACCAGGTGCCTGTTTCCATGGAGCTTTTTGGGGGCACACAGAAAAATGCCCACCTAATGCCTTTTATGCTAAGAGCCTCTCTGGCAATCCCCATCACATCCAGGAGGAAGCCTAGGGTGGGTGTCACCCAGGGAGACAGAGCACCACTGTCATGCCAGTGGCCACAGGTTTGAGGATACTGTGTCTCCCACCAATGAGCCAGTTGGCAGTCCCATTCTGAGACCAGGCAGAGAAAAGATTCCTCTGTAGCTGGGGAAGAGATTAAGGGAGTCAAACATTCCTAGCCATTTTGGGCTCTTGCCCAGAGTACAGGCTGGCTGGCCCTTGGGGCTGCCCTAAAGAGGCAGCATACGCTGGGATGAGCACTGGGCTGTAACCAGAATTCCTAGATGAGCCCCCTTAATGGCTTCCCATAAGGTGCAGGGCCACAGAAGGTGGGATCTCCAAGACTTCCTGGGCTGAACACTTTGATTCTAAGAGTCTCATCTCTGGATGGACACTTGGACCATCTCCTGCCCCTCCAGTCACAGCTTCACCTTTCCCAAATCCCATGTCAACAGCTGTCAAAATTCCTCAAAGCTCCCTCAGAAAGAAGCCTCTTCCTTATTCCAGGGCCTCCTGGAATGAGGAAGGTCATTCCAGAGGTTTTTTTCTGATGTTTAACCTCAGTCTCGTCTGTTGTTACTTTATGAAAAGAAAAAGACACCCCCACCTACCCCCATGGCCTTGCCACTCCCTGGCACCATTTGTATCATTTGTTGCCCTGAATGAAAGCAGATAACCTGACCTTGCTGGGCCCTGAGACTCTGTCTGGAGAGAGCTGCCTTCCCCCTGAGGCTGGGTGTACATCTGGACTGTTAGAGCAACAAGGACCAGAGAGCCAGGGCAAAGGGCTCTGTAAGGGGAGCCCAAATGTATGCAGAAGAGAGGACACTTGTCTCCCTAGGCCCTGGAGAGGTGCCTACAGTTGGTTCCTTTTCCTAGTCCCCAGGGTGTTTACTGGCCACTAAGCTGTGGGGTAAAGTACTTGTTTGTGGCTGTTCCTCTTGCCGCCTCCTCTGGGGCTTGATGTATGAGAGGAGATAACCCAGAACTGTGGTCTCATGATCGCAGTGAAAATAAGCACACTCTCAACTCCCCCAGCCCATCTGGGCAGAGAACACGAAAATCAGAGAACCCCTGCGCAGGAGGGGATCCTGAGAAACATCTAATCTAGTCTTCTGCAAGCAAGCTCATGTACAAGTCACTCTAGCAGGAGGCTGTTGCATTTTACAAGCTTGCATGTCCTCAGGTCACCTATTGTCTTATTAAACCTTAGTCAGTACTCTACCTGAAATCTCAGGCTGCAGGAACATTTATTTTGTTGTCGTTCTATCCCTCAAACAAATTCTGCCTGCCCAGTGGTTAGGTTTTCCTGGGGCTCAGTTTTCCCTGGCTAAAAACCCTTCGTGGGTCTCCCAGGAGGTCTGCCTTCCTCCCCTTTTTAGTGGACCTCATTAGCATTAAGGTACTTACTTGTGAGTAACTATCGTTGGCCTGAAGCAAGTTTAGTGGCTGTAGCCTCTAGCTTCACTGGTTAGGTCCTATGCCAAACCAGCTCCTCCCTCGGCCCAGCAACTGGACACCTGTCCCCTGCTTCCCCTGACGCAGCCCGAGGCAATGAGGAACGAATTGGATAAAACTTGGAAGGAGGTTTTGTTCAGCATCCCCTTTCTGATAGAGAACCAGGCACAGGCCAAGTCGTGGCCAGAGGGGGGCCAGGAGGGATGCTAGGCCAAGTTTGGACTCCCTGTCAGGGAGAATGGTCGTATAGCTGAGCCCCTAGCACCCTTGCTTGTAAGGGTTGGGAAGAGGTGAGGAGGCTTTCATTAGCCAGCTCCAGGAAAGCTGACCTGGGCTAGGGGTGGGTGGGTAGGGTGCAGTGGGGGTTTGGCTGTGGCAGGGAAAAGGCATGTGAGCTTATATTTTTAAAAAATTGTAGTGGGTAAACATCAACATAAACCTGCCCAGGAAAATAGAGCAGGACTTAAAAGTTTAAAAAACCATAACAAAATAGAGCTCTAACTATAAACTACAGAAAACAGGCTCGGAGCTTCCGAGGACATATGCCCTTCAAGATGCCTGTCCCGCTGCCCCCTGTGAAGGGCCACCTGTCGGAGCATGGGCTTTGGGGTTTCCTAGTTGTGCTGCTGCTCTTGCCTAGGGAATCTGCTCTTGCTTTGGCCTCTTTTCTTGGGGCAAGAGTGAGGGGGACAGGGAGCTTCAAGTCAGCCCTCCATGTTGAAGTTTGGTAGAAGCTCTGCCCACACCTTGGACGGGAACCCAGCCATGCCAATCCCCATGATCACCAATCCGAACCCCTTGAAGTAGAATTTTCACACCCTACTGACTAATCACCTTCTTAGCCAGGCCATAGCCATTCAGCAGTGCCTCCTTCCTCTGGGTAGACAAACAGCCTTGAACAGAAAGGTGGAAGACTCGAGTTCTTAACCCAGCCCCATCTCTTCTGGGCTGTGTGACCTTGGGAATCCCAGACCCTCTCTGGACCACCTCCATTTCCTCATCTGTAAAGTGAGGGGCTTGAAGAAGTTGAGCTCTAAGGCTTCTTCCAGCTCTGACGTTCTGTGACTGGTAGTATACCCAGAGCTCAGGAAAGGATGGCCCATTTATTAACCCCTTTTTCTCCGGGGAAATGCAAGCAGTCCAAGGCCGTCTGGGAGCGGATCTGGCCAGGTGGTCCTAGGTATACCTGGGAGCAGGCAGGGCCACATTTATCCTCTGCCCTTCCCAGAAACCTCCCAATACCAGGACACACAGCATGAATGCTGCATTCCCCTCCCAGGCAGGAGTGAGTCAGTGCTGGGAGAGCAGAGTCTGGGGCTGCAGGTCGGGGAGGCCGAGCTGACTGCAGGCAGCACTGGAGAGGTGGGCGCATGATTGGCCATCTCCTGCCCAAACCCTGGAGGGACTGTGCAGAATGGGTCTTGGAGGGGTGGGAGACCCCACCAAGACAAGCCCTTTAGTCACCCAGCCACCTGAAGTGGCGCTGTCAATCGGGATGACAGGGTCAGGTTGGCAGTGTTGGCTGAGAGGGCATCGTCACCTGGGTTGTGACTATCTCAGACCAAGGCTGGTGCCCCTTTCCACCAAGGGCCCTGGCCTCTCAACTCTTTTTGGCTCCCACCCCAAACAGCCTGGAGTATCACCCCCCTCAAAGCTGAAGGGGCTCAGGCTCCCAGCCTCAGGCATCGGGGCGCTGGTTCTCAGCCGCTTGGGCAGGCAGGAGCCCCTAGGGAGTTATCGGGGACAGCGTCAGGGTCCTTGCTGCTGCTCGAGGGAGAAGGCGGGAGAGCTCTTGGTCCCAGGGCTTGCCCTTCTTCCTTAGACTGAAGGATGGTGAGGTGTGCACTTCGCTCCAGTTCTTCAACCTGTTCATGTCTGGTGTTCCTGCCGGGCCTAGGACTGCTCTCAAGTGGCGGAGTCCGTATAGGGTCCCAGAGGGCCATCTCTGCTGAGTTGAAGACATGTTTTTAAAACCCCCTTCTTCCCATGGGCCTGTTCCTTCCCTCCAGGCAGCCTAGAGCTCAGGTATAGGCGTCAGTGTCATCATGGAAGTTACTGCCTGGTGCCTCTCAATTTAAAGAAAATCCTTGCGTGGGTTCTATCCTGCGGCAGAATATAAAATATCCTACCTCCTACAAAAAGGGCACTGTTTAAAGTAGGTATTTAAAACCAGCCACTCTCTGGCACAGTGTCAGGCCACCTTGGCAGCAGGAAGGGGCTGGCTGTGTCCGTCGGAGGTGGCGTCCAGCTGCGGCGCAGAGGGAGGGGTTCCAGGATCAGAGCTCCAGGGAGCCTATGAGGATCAGCATCGCCACGGAGTGGGAAATGACGGTGCCAGGGTGTGGTGCTGGGCGGACTGCCATGTTCTCCACCATCATGCTTGTGCCTGAAACCAGCACAAGCTGAGTCAGCTGGGCCTGGGACTACCCTAGCCCCACCCTTGTGGCAAGATTGAGACCTTTCCTAAGGAGACTCACAGGGCCAGCTGCAGGCCTGGGAGCGGACGGCTGGGTGGTCTTCTCAGTCCGACTCCTACGGTGCTTTGTAGGCCGTTTGCTATTGCTGGTTGGTCCTCAGCCTCCCCCTGCACCCTGCGCCCTTCCCTGGCCCTCGGGGATGTTCTGGGGGCTGGGTAGAAAGGTGGCGGCGAGGCAGTTCTAAGACTACTTTGCACTTGGTTCCTGCCTGCCTTCCACTTTCCTTTGCGGGTAGAGATTGGAGTTGGCCTGGGTGGGAATGATCCTCTCAGGTATCTGGGTGGATCCTGAATCTCTCGAGGGGATAAGGGTAGGGGAGGAGCAGCACCTCCATTCCTCACGATGTGGACTTCTGCAGGGATCCCATCCCCTCCGGGCCCTGTGGTCCGAATTTGTACCAGGGCATGGCCAATGTCTTCAGGCACTGGGATTTCTATCCAGTTCTTGCCGGTGAGGTGGAGCGTGGGAGTCAGGTGTAAGTCATTCTGGTACAGCATCTGTGGGAAGGAGGTTTCCAGGTGGAGTTTCCTGACACCAGGGCTGATCGTTGAGTCATCCCCAGCTTTAGGTACTGGGAGGAGACCCGATGGTTCTGGGCTCTTGAGGTCCAGCCTCCTCACCCCTCCTCCCCATTGACAAAGCTCCTCATTGGTGGAGGAAAGCTTGCAGGCCACTGAACTGTTTCCGTAGACTCCTTAAGCTAGAAGAACCCCCATACTCCATCCCCATAGTCCATCACTGCCCCTGTGAACTCTGCCTTTCTGCAGTGATACCATCTGCCCGTTTTTATAGTTTCTACTGCAAGTTACTGAGAGAATAGTTCATGAATTTCATTCCTCTCACAGTCACAAACCCTTTGCTTATGTCTCACTCAGATGCCTCTTGCTATAAATTGCTGCTGCTTATGTTCACTGGAAACACAGAGGAGCTGTTCCTTCCCATTCTGGGCCTAGCTGATTGCTTCCTCACCTTATAGCCGGTGACTGCAGACTCATTTCGGAAAGGGACCACAGGGTCCCACTTAATGCTAAGACTAGAGCTTGAGAAAGTCCAGGAGATGTTGCCAGGAGGTCGCCGCGGAGCTGCCAGAGAGGAAGAATTGGAGAGATGTCCAAACGTTTCCCTGGCACCCCGCACCCCCTCACCTTTAACCAGCCCTTCTCTGGATGTTTGCCTCTAGCAGTTACACCCAGCACATTCTGTCATGCCCACGAAACAAAGCCCATGAAAATCCAAAGGTTGGAGAAGTGTGAGACGCTTCAGGGGCCATGAATTCCATTCCCTTATTTCCATTAGGCTCGCTGCCTAATTTCTGTTCAGCCCAGAGCTGGTGGGCTAGAGCATTTGTCTTATCATTGGGGAAGGAATGATCTCAGAGGCACCCACCCTCCAAAATATTGCCCTACCCCCACCCCAGGCAGACAGACTCACGGGGCTTCATGGTCGTGGCGTTGGCAGAAGGGCTGGCAGGCCCAGTGCCAGCCCGGTTGTAGGCCCTCACGGTCACATGGTACTTGGTGTTGGGATGCAGGCCGCTGACTCGGGCACTGGTGTCCAGCCCTGCTGTCCTCACTCGGTCCGCAGCTGCTTCTTTGTCCCCAGCTTTCCAGTAGCGGATCTGAAGGAGGCGGGGGTACCCAAGGGGTAGTAGTCAAGCCCAGGATCTCAGGGCTGCCCCGGCCCCCACATTCTGTTCCTCTCTTGCTCATCCTGGTCCCTGTGACCCAGTCTTAGGCCTCAGAACCTGGAGACTAGATCATGAGCACCCAGACAGCAGGGCCATGTGGGTGTGAGTCCCTGCTGTCTGTTGGTGCGTAGTTCAAGGAAGGTGCTCAAGACATGGGTCAGGGAGGGAGCTGGTGGCACAGGCTCAACCTAGCAATGGCCTGCTGGAACCCATTTCATTTCATTAACTTGGGGGGCTACCGTGGGCATTCTGCTAAGGGACAGAAAATGCTTATTTGTATTGCAAAGTAGTCCCCTGGCCCTAAGCAAGCTTCTGAAGGTTGCCTAATAAATGCAAACCCATTTTCATGGTAATCATAGCATGAAGACCTGCTAAATATGCTTTCAAAGGCAGAGGCAAGGGCAGAGTTTGGAATTATCTCCACACTGTGGCTTGCCTAAGCTATTGTACTCAAATCTAGAGTACTCTACTAGAATGAACTTGTGCTATCACTAGTAGGCCCAGCTTGATGGTTTCTTCTTGCTTTTCCTTCTTTCTCTCCCTCTTGCTTCCCATCACTTGCCATCTGCTCCACAGGTACCCCTTTGTGGAGTTCTCAGTGGGCCCAGGACTCAGGCCAGACTGCTGGGCCCCAGATTCCCCCGGGACAGGATGATCAACTGTCCATAGAGCGGCTCAGGCTGTTTTCTGTGCAGCCCTGGACAGGCCAGCCTGAATGGGCTCTGGGATGAAAGGGGCAGGCCATGCCCCTTCCCAGAACCTGTTCCTTCTACCCTCTCAGCTTCCAATGCTGGCTCTAGCCAAGCATTTACTTTAAGGCTGCCTCCAGGGTCTGTCTTCCCCAATGGGCATAAGCCATGGGGTCTTTTTTTTTTTTTTTTTGAGATGGAGTCTCGCTTTGTCACCCAGGCTGGAGTGCAGTGGCGCAATCTCAGCTCACTGCAACCTCTGCCTCCTGAACGCAAGCGATTCTCCTGCCTCAGCCTCCTGAGTAGCTGGGATTACAGGCATGGGCCACCATGCCCAGCTAATTTTTGTATTTTTAGTAGAGGCGGGGCTTCACCATGTTGGCCAGGCTGGTCTCAAACTCCTGATCTCAGGAGATCTACCGCCTCAGCCTCCCAAAGTGATGGGATTACAGGCATGAGCCACCGCGCCTGGCCTGCCATGGGGTCTTAGTGAAATTTGCATTCACAGTGCTACACAGACTGGATGCTCAGTTTGCCATGTCAGCGAACCAGGGACGCCAGGAGGAATGATTAGTGGTCTGTGAGTTGTTCCCACCTGGCTTTGAAGCCCCAGCACCCCTTCCTCTCCCAAGTCCCAGGTTGGTGCTCACCTCATACCCCAGGAGGATACCATTCATGTCCTGCTGCACGGGTTCCCAGGTCACGTTCATCTCTGAGGATGAGACCCCTTTGGCCCACACCTTGGTAGGGGCCACCCTGGGCTCTGGGGACCAATACAGAATGGGTTTGGATTCCCAGGGCCCCCCTGTGTCCTGCAGAGCAGCCCCCAACCAGGATTGCCTTTGCTTAAGATTTTGGAGGAAAGCCTTCAGGATGAAGGCCGAGTGGGAGCCCCCCAAGCAATGCTCCAGGGCCCACTTCTATTCCCAGAGAGCCTCCCTTTTCCTAACCCCGAAGGGAGACAAGGTAGCAAGAGCTGGAAGTGAGGCCAATGATGTGGAACCCAGGTGTCCTCTCAACCTCCTCCTATGGAACTGAGCTGGGAGATGAGTAGCGTTCCCCCACCCCACATCCCTGTGGACAAGTGGCTGGGGTAGGGACGAGCAGGGGGCCCAGGGGCAGCCCACCTTCCTCAGCTGAGTACACGAGTGCAGTGAGGCTCTCGGGCCCATCCCCGCGGCGGTTGTAGCTGCGGATCTTGACCTCAAAGGGCGTGTAGGGCCGGACGCTCTCGTTGCTGTAGACAAAGTACTGGGCATCGGCGCCAGGCACCCGGGCGGTCTGCCAGTGAGTGCTGCCCTGCCTGCGGAAGGACAGCAGGTAGCCGAAGCCGTCTCCGTTCTGGTACTCCCGTGACATGGGCTGAGGGGCAAGAGCATGGCATGGGCGAGGGTCCGCGGCATGTGTCCCTGCCCGTTCCCTGGCCCCACCCAACCTTTGCCAAGAGTAGCGGCCCTGGACGCCTACGCCTGCAGCGTGGATTCGCGTAAGGGGCAGCGGGTGCGTGGAAGGGGGACAGGAAGTTATCCGCGTTTGAGTCAGAGCTGTGCAGTGGTCCTTTCTGCAGCTGCTCAAGCGGGAGAGGGGTCAGGGAGGAGGAGGAGGACATCTGACCCTTGCAGCTTACCGTCCAGTTGACGATGAGCTCTCCGGGGGCTCCACCTCCTCCGCTGAGTCCTGAGGGTGCCACCGAGGGGGCTGTCAAGGGCCAAGGGACACCGATATGGCTTGTTAATGAGCAAGGAAAAAATGAAAGCCCTGAGCCTGTGCCTGTAGAGCACCGTAAGATGGGAACCCCTTCAACTGGGCCCTGGGTTTGCCCCCCAGTGGTCCCTCTGAACATAGGCTTTGGAGTCAGGCAGTCCTGAAATCAAATCCCACCTCTGCCATTTACTAGCTGTGCTTCCCTGGGCAAGTCACTTAACCTTTCTGAGCCTCTGATTCTCTTCTCCATGAAGATAATCATGTTTCTCTCAGAGGCCATAATGAGAATGAAATTAGACAAGACGGTGGTTAGTATAGAGCAGATGATGCACACATGATCATTGTCCTCCTTACTCCATCAACTTAAACTAAATCACAGAGACCAACTCTCACTCGCTTTAAAATAAGGGGAATAAATAACCCAGAACTGCAGTTAATGCAAACAAACAAACAAACAAACAAACAAACAAACAAACAAAACAAACTACTTTTGGGCTCCAGGGTGATATATTATCTATTTTTCTTTTTGTTGCAGATTTAATCTCCTAATTGTCTCTAGTATTAAACAAGGCTGATATTAAAACAGGAATTTATTTCATCAGCTCCTGCAGCTTGGCAGAAAGTAACTTGGCTGGGGGTCAAAATATTTCCGTAGAGAATCCAGCAGCTGGAGATTTTTCACTTGCTTCTGATGACAATAGTTTAGGACCGTGTAATTTGCAAGAGGTACTTAAACACATTGGCCATTTGATCCTGTGAGGTGGGTGTTATTATTGCCCTTTTCAGGGTGGAAAGACTGAGGCCCAGAGCAGTTAATCAACTTGCCTAAGGTCACACAGTTAATACATGGCACAGGTAGAATCTGAACTCAGCCCTTCTCATTTTAAAGCCCATCATGTTTCCTTTGCATCACAGCTGTCTTTGTGCTCCTCAGCTACTGGGATGCTGTAAATAGAATAAAGGAGTCCCCTCATTTCTCCACATTTGACCCTCCAAGAAGTTCAGGATCAATCAAAGAAAGTGCTGCCTCTGGAATTTCTTACTCAGGAGAGGTACCAGCTAAAAATGTTGAGTGATTCTAGAAAAAGGGCCTGGAGAGTCAGTCTGGGGCATGTAGGAGAACATGTTTCAGGCAGACAAGAAGGTGGACCCTCACTACACATCCAGTGCAACAGGTCTGTAGAGGAGGTGAGGCAGGGTCCTTAATCTATGCTCCTGGTCCCAGGATCCCCGGGCTCTCATTCCAGGCCTTCCCCTGCGAATGGCTCGGAGATGGGCAGGAGCCTCTCAGCAGATGCTGACTGGAGCCTGTGCCTCCCCTACTCTCTCCTGGGTTCTTTTCTCCCCCTCCTTCTCCACTCAAGTTCTGACACCCACACGCTTTTTGCTGAGGGTTGTGGGCAGGTTATTCAATTCCATCTGCTCCCAAAGAAACCATCTAAAGGCTTGGAGACACTGGCTGCTTCCCTAGCCCCCTGCACAGAACACACACACATCTTTCACATCAACTGATTTCCTTTTTTTCTTTCTTTTTTTTTTTTTTTTTTTTTTTTTTTTGAGATGGAGTCTCGCTCTGTCGCCCAGGATGGAGTGCAGTGGTACAATCTTGGCTCACTGCAACCTCCACCTCCCGGGTTCAAGCGATTCTCCTGCTTCAGCCTCCCGAGTAGCTGGGATTTACAGGTGTGTGTCACCACGCCTGGCTAATTTTTGTATTTTTAGTAGAGACGGGGTTTCACCATGTTGGCCAGGCTGGTCTCAAACTTCTGACCTCAGGTGATCTGCCTGCCTCGGCCTCCCAAAGTGCTGGGATTACAGGCTTGAGCCACTGCGCCCAGCCAGCATTAACTGATTTCTGTAGTGCATACTCTTCCAGGAAGACATCTGTCTACCACCCCATGGTCCTGGGTTCAAGTCCAAGCTCTGTCAATGTGACTCTTCCTTTCTCCGAACTTTGGTTTTTCCACTTTTAAAAATTAAACTTAAAAAAATTATAGATGCACATGCAGTTGTAAGGTTGGCCAGTTTTTAAATGAGGAGTTTGGACTAGATGGTTTGTCCATGCAGTGGCCCTGGTCCCAACTTGGTGTTCTGTCCTCCTCTGTTTTGTGAGAGTCTGAACCCTGTGAGCAGGGTTGGAACTCAGCATAATTGCGGCTGGCTTGGCATTCCCTATAAGTGGTGCCAGGGTCTCTGCCCTGATGATAGCTTTTTGGGACACACAGGACTCTCACCTGCTTCCCTGGTCCGGATTTTGCTGGAGGGCCCACTAGGCTCCCCAGTGCCCAGAATGTTGCTGGCTATGACCCGGAACTCATAGTCCATCCAGGGGGTGAGGCCCAGCACCTGTGCAGTCTCGGCATTGCCCTCGATGTTTGCAGGATCTGCAAGGCACCAGGGAGTCCATATTCCAGCATTCGCTTATTCATCTGGGTGCAGAGGGCAGGCACTGGCCTGAATCACCCCTTATCTACCCAGCCCTCACTTCGGTACTTGCCATATACTAAGCACTCAGTACCTTTTTCAGAAATGATTGAAAAACTACTCAATTTCCCTATCTTGGTGCCTCTGCAATGCTGTGTGCACGCCTACGCCCCTATGTCCCCATGAATATTTTCATTGCTCCAGTAACAATCCTACCAATTCTTCAAGGGCATAGACCAAGCGCCTCCTCTTCTAACTCTTTCCCGACTCTCCTACTTTCTGTGTGACTGTCTTCCTGCCTGCCTGCATGCTCTCTGCTGGCAGAGGACAGATCTTGTCCCTCTTTGAAGCTCCAGGCTCAGCCCTGGCCCTCAGACCCCGATCCCCAAACCTTGACCCTTTCCACCTCCTACACCCAGTCGAGCCTTATCAGCACTGACCCAGGTGGGGCTCACACTTACTGGTCCGAACCTGCTTCCACTTCCCTGCAGGTGGAGTGCGAGCTTGCAGGGTGTACTTAGCGATGGGGCTGTGGTTGTCGAAGCCACGGCTCCAGCTGAGCTGGATGGTGGTGTCGCCAATGTCCCTCACCACCACACCTCCTGGGGGACCTGGCGGACCTGCACCAAGAGGTCAGAGCACAGTGGGTCAGAATTGGGCAGCTTCCAATTTGAGCCAACCTCCTCCCAGCCAGGCTTGAGCTGGTACAGTACCAAGACAGGGCAGCAGAGGATGCAGTGAACACACACCCAGGCGGGAGGGCGGGCAAGGGGTGTGGGCAGTTGGGGCGGGTGCCAGTTGTTGGGTGGAGGGATGTGTCTCAAGGCTGGGGGAGCTCACAGAGGCTGTCACATGGAGAGGTGCATAGATCTCCCAGCACTAGGCTTTGAAAACTTCAGGGCTCAGTAAAGCACTCCTGTCTTGGGATGTGTTTAGGAGTGGATTTTTTAAACTTTGACTTTGGAAGAAAAATGTCCTGATCATTTAGGACCTGTGAAGAACCACAGGGTATATCCAGCTCACAGGAGTTCCGCCGGAAGCCCTTCCCCGCAGCTTTGAGGGAAGGGAGGGGAGATGAGGCGAGCAGGTCAGAACAGCCCAGCTGGGTTTTAAGGGAGTTGGGGTAGGGGTAGAGGTGGGAAACCCCTCACCTCGGACCAGGACTGTGGCCTCCTTGGACGCGCTGTCCACCACCGTCTGGGCCATGCACGTGTACTTCCCCCCATGGCGCAGCTGGGCGTTCAGGATGGTCAGATCCCCAATGGTCTCCTTCTGCACACGGGGACAGTTAGGGGCAGCAGGTCAGACCACCGGCCCTGACCAGTGCAGCAGGCCATGAGACATGAGGCAGCGCTTGGGAGTCCCCTACTCCATGACATCCATGGACCCCACTGGATCTCAGTTTTCCTGTCTGCTCAATGGGAGGAATCACGACTCATCACTTAGAACCACTGGGGACTAAACAGCAAAGTTTGTTTCAGGAGACAGTCAATGACTGTCCACATTAATAATATCATTTGCCCTAGGGGACAGGCTAACAAGAACAGTAGTGGGAGTGTCTTGGTGGCTGCCCACAACTCCAGGTTTGTCCCTAACCCTCTCCTAAATGCATGGTCCCTGGGTGGAATCCAGGAAGGTCAGCTGTTCATCCAAGGATGAGCTTGCCATGTGTGGGCCTGAGGGAATGGGGGCGCTTAGGCTATGGGTTTCTTAAAGGTGAGGATGGCTAAGGACATCTTGGGGCCCCTGTCTCTCTAGAAGGAGGGAGAAGCCATGGGGCTCTGGCCCTAGGTCTCACCACATTAGTTCTCCGGTAGTGCCCTCCAGGCTTATCAAAGTCGATGGGGAAGTCGTCCAGGGTCCAGGTGAAGGTGAGGTCCATGGTGGGGTCGTGGGAGGCATGGCACTGTAGGGTCAGGTTGTCACCCAAGTTGATGTCGGCACTTGAGGGGGCTAGAGTGATTTTGGTTGCATCTGCCAAGAAAAACAAGGCCCTTGGGTGGATGGGGGAGGAAATGGGCCCAGGCCGGGTCCGCAGGGCAGGCTGAGAGGCTCTGTCCTAAGGCCCAGCAAAGAGAAGAGGTGGTGTGACCCACAGGTCCCAACTGCCCAGGACTGCATGAGTGTGTGGCAGGCAGGGAGGCATGACCAGAGTCTCAGTGGTGGCCAGGGGGTGGTCCCAAGCAAAACTGAATCCTGGGGTGGCCTTGACACCAAACTAGGAGCAATGTGGACACAGGAGCAGGATGATGGGGAGGACAGTACCCTGAGGAGGCTGAGCCCCCGGCCTACCCACATGGCAGCCCTCACCTCGCACAGATAGGATTCCAGTGCTGTTGGCTTTGCCCATGAAGTTCTCAGCAAAGCAGGTGTATTTGCCTTCATCTGACCGGCTGATGTTTCTTATGATCAAGGTGCCATCTGGAGTTACAGTCACTCTGTGGCAAGGACAAGGCAGATGTGGCCAACTCAGGCATGGTTGTCCCTGGGGCTGGCCAACTCCTGTGACTGTTGTCACAGGAGGGGAATTGGCCTCCATGGAGAATGAGGAGGAGCAGGAACTGTGCAGGGTGGGGTGTGGGTGGTACCTGCTGCTGTTGACCAAAATCTCCGTGCCTTTGCTCCAGAGCACCACGGCCTTTGGAGCTGCCCGGGGCTGGCAGGGGATAAGGATCTCTCCCCCGCGGGCCGCGGGGATCAGACGCCTCACGGGATTCAGCCTGAAGTCAGGGGCGAGTGCTAGAAGGAAAGGGGAGAGCCACAGAGAAAAGTACTGTCACCCTTGATTAAGACGTTACTTGGCGTGCCCTTTGAAGCCACGCCATGAGTGACTCCTATTAGCACCTCTTCCAGAATGCATCCAGAACCAAGCCCTTTTTTCTCTGGCCTAAGCTATCAAATCTCCCGCCTGGACTATTGACAACGCGCCCCCCCTCCGCCCCTCACCACCACCCCTGCCACCCCACATCAGTCTTCCTGTTTCTGCACCTTCCTTCTACAATCTTTTCTCCACCCAGTTGGGAATGAACAGCTTTTTCAACTCACACTCAGTGAAGCCCGGCTCTTCACAAATAAGTCTCCACCTTTCCAATCGCATCTTGCTCCACTCTATCCCCCATTCATTATGTTCCAATCACCTAGCCTTTTTTTTTCTCTCTCTCTCTCTTTTGAAGTTGTGAAGTCTTTTCCTGCCTCCAGAGCTTTGCACTTGCTGTAAATCTTGCCTGGAAATTCCCCAGATCTTCACGCGGCTGGCTTCTTAACATTCAGGTCACAGTCTAAATGAGACTTCCTCAGAGAGGACTTCTCTGACCACCCCACCTAACAGGCCCATCTCACGCCCATCACTCTACTGGGTTTTCTTTTCTTTTCTTTCTTTCTTTCTTTCTTTCTTTTTCTTTTCTTTTCTTTCTTCTTCTTTTTTTTTTTTTAAAAGACAAGTCTTGCTGTGTTGCCCAGGCTGGAGTGCAATGGCACAATCTCAGTTCACTGCAGCCTCTGCCTCCAGGGCTCAAGTGATTCTCCTGCCTCAGCCTCCTGTGTAGCTGGGACTACACGTGTGTGCTACCATGCCTGGCTAAATTTTGTGTTTTTCATAGACATGGGGTTTCACCATGTTGCCCAGGCTGGTCTCAAACTCCTGAGCTTGAGGAGATCCACTCACCCCTGCCTCCCAAAGTGCTGGGATTACACAGGCATGAGCCACTGCACCCTGCCTGGATTTTCTTTATACTATATTTGATGGCTAGCTGAAATTATTTAATTGTTTGATTTGGGGTTTATTTGTCCCTTTCCCTCTACTGGATTGTAAGCTACTTAAAGGCAGAGACCGTATCTTTTATATTCATCCCTGTGAAGTGTTGAGTAAGTAGTGGTTGAATGGATGAAGGAACGAATGAATGCTTCTTAGCAAAGCTTCACTAAAACCTGATGTGGTGGGTATCACTGTGTCCATTTTATGGATGAGGAAACTGAGGCTCAGTGAGCTCAAGTCACACAACTAAATATTAGCACTGGCTTACATTTCCCGGGCACCTGCTGTATGGTGGGCAGGCCCTTTATGCTGTACCTCTTTCATCTCACTTGTTCCATACAGCAGCCCAGGAGGGCAGGACTATTATTGCCTATATTTTATAATCAAGAAACTGAAACACAGAAACACTAAGTAACTTGCCAAAGCTCACATAGCTGAAAGGGTTGGGTTACACAAATCTGATTGATTTGGTTTCTGTTTTTTTCACTCACTGCAGCAAACATTTACTGTGTGCCAGACATGGAACAAGTCAGAGACCCTGCCCTCTGGCAGCTGTCAACCCTGTGTCTCATCTCCTTTCTTAAATCTCTGAGTTCTCCTACTTAGAAACTGTTGGAAAACCAAGGAAAATGGCCACAGGGTATGTGCATGTGTGTTTGGAAACACCTAAACTCAGAGCTCTGAAAGCCACCATATGCATGTCCTTGGGATGTCCCCTGCCTCCCTGGGCCCCTTACCTTGCACGGCTAGCTCGGCGCTGGCGTAGATGGTACCGTGCTTATTCTCTGCCACACACTGGTACATGCCCGAGTCTTCCAGGCTCAGCTTGGAGAACCGCAGGTCCCCAGCCAACACCTCCACCCGGTTCTGTGCAGAAGAGCCCAGAGCCCAGGGGGATCAGGACCACAGGAGCCACAGGGAGGAGGGGTTGGCAGGGGTGGGAGCAGTGGAGACTCTAGGCTGATAATCCCTAGAGGATATGGCTTATATGTCCAGTCCTACCTCAGGGCTGCCTGGAACCTCAGGATGCAGATTACCCAGGCCTCCCCAAAGCTGGAAGGGTGAGGTGACCCAGTCAGGACCACATCACTTCTTTTGTGGCTGAACTGTGCCTGGATCCAGGCCTAGCCTGTGACAATGGGACTGGGATGGGAAGAAGTCCTTAGGTGGTCCTAGGACCACCCTCTGACACCCTAATTAGCCCAGAGGGGCTACTAGTGGTGCAGGGGAAGTTCTGGGCGGGGGAGGGAACCAAGTGAGCAGAGGACAGTTGTGATGTGTCGGGGGAAGCCCCATGTCTCCTACCTGGGAGGCCAGAGGCTCCCCGTTCCGCAGCCAGCGCACTGTAGGCCGGGGCTTGCCGGCGGCTGCACAGCCCCAACGCAGGTTGGAGCCAATGTCAGCCTCTGTGTCCGAGATCACTTTTAGCCACTCAGGCTGAGCTGTGGGAGCCCGGAAAAGAAAACCTGGCATGAGCTAGGAGGAGCTTCCAGCTCATTAAAAGGAACAGAAAATCAGGGCAGCAGCACCTGTGCCAGACAGCAGAGGGCGCCATGAGCATTCTGAGATGGAGAGGACAAAGAGGAGGGGGCCGGAAGAAGGAGGCACAAGAAAGCTGGCACTCTGTGGCTGTGCCAGTGGCTGCTTTTGCAACTTAAATCATTCTGGAGCCTCCTGTGTGCTTTCTGCACCCCTGACTGAAGCTCTGAGGTGACCACAGCACTAGCCTCCTCTGGTCCCAGACTCAGTGCAGTCCTAGGGCAAGCAGGCTCATGCAGGGGGCCTCCCAGTCTCCTCCCTGACTTTTGGGTCTGTTTCCTTGGGGACAAGGGTGAAGGCGGGAAGGGGGGTCGGGAGGGGCGGAGAAGGTGTCCCTGGCTCTGTACCCTGCACGATGATGCGGCCCTGCACGGTGTCTCGGCCCTTGGAGTTCTCCGCCTCACACTCGTAGGTGCCCTCATCCTCAAAGCTGACGCTGGGGATCTGCAGGGTGGGCTCAGCTGTGGTCCACTGCGGGGAC
This sequence comes from Homo sapiens, assembly GCF_000001405.40. Taxonomy (NCBI): domain Eukaryota; kingdom Metazoa; phylum Chordata; class Mammalia; order Primates; family Hominidae; genus Homo; species Homo sapiens. Next base: position 205,061,286 of record NC_000001.11, on the reverse strand, counting down.
AGGGAGCCGTCCACTTTGCGCCACTTGATCCGGGGGACAGGGCTGGCAGGAGAGACAAAGCCAGAGGGTGTGGGCTGAGCTGGGCCTACCCCTCCAGTGCCCGCAGCTCCTCATACCCAGACTCTCAGGCCCTCCTGAGATGCTGGGCCTGGGAGGAACAGAGGGAGAGAGGGTGCCTTCTGGCTGATCCTCACTCTCCTCTCCCAGGTAGGCTCGGAGCACACGCAGGGAAGGGGCAAGAGGCAGGGCTGCTCTACCCATCCCCCCTGCAACAACCCTGGAGCCAGTGAAGCCGGGCTTCTGCGGGGTCTGCACCCTGAAGCTGGCCTGCCCTCTCCCGCACCGGTCACCATGCCTCTGGGTCTGCCCTCCGCCACAGTGGCCTGTGACCTGGGTCTTTACGGGTTCTCTTTTCCGTTGCCTCTACAGGGCAGGCCTTGCCCCTACTTTGAAAGGGACTTTAGTTAGTAGTAATCTGTGCACTAAAACGGACTGAGGTATCAGTTTTAATGGGTTAATATATTCCCCTTCCACATGCTTTTCTTTTTTTTCTTTTTTTTTTTTTTTTTTTGAGACGGAGTCTCGCTCTGTCACCTAGGCTGGAGTGCAGTGGGGCAATCTTGGCTCACTGCAAGCTCTGCCTCCCGGGTTCACACCATTCTCCTGCCTCAGCCTCCCGAGCAGCTGGGACTACAGGCACCCGCCACCACACCTGGCTAGTTTTTTTTGTATTTTTAGTAGAGACTGGATTTCACCGTGCTAGCCAGGATGGTCTCGATCTCCTGACCTCATGATCTTCCCACCTCGGCCTCCCAAAGTGCTGGGATTACAGACATGAACCACCGCACCTGGCCCCACTTCCACATGCTTTTCATGTGGATTTTCTGGAAGCCCAAAACTTCCCACAAGGCAGAGATTCTCCCAGGTAACCATAGGAGATAGTTGAGGGAGGAGGGGGCCAAAGTACAAATCACATTCTTTCTTTCATACTACAAACATTTATTGAGCACCTGCTATTTGCTTAGCCCTGTTCTAGTGACTCCTTCTTCTAGGAGTACGAGAAAGAGAACACTTTCTGCTGCCATTCTCAAATAGATCACTGTTAACATTCACGGAACACTTAACTAAATTCCAGGCACTGTTCTAAGTATCTCACATATATGAACTGATTTAATCCTCATGACAACCCTATGAGGTAGGTACTATTATCACCACCATAAAGAAACTGAGGCACAGAGAGGTTAGGCAGTTTACCCAAGGTCTGCGGGTGGCAGAGCTGGGATCTGAATGAGACAGACAGGGTTGGAGTCTGTACACTGTGCTGCCTGCCTCCAGCCCTGGGTGTTACTCAAGCTGTCTGAGCCTGCCATGCACTGCTGGAAGACCAAGTGATCCTGGCCATGGAAGGCCCCTGGCATATGCGATGCCTCACCCAGAGAGGTACTGTCCAGTGAGTGGTGGTCGATACCCACTGTGTGCCCAGTACTTTGCTAGACCCTGTGAGGGACACCAAGATAAGAGCCCTGACTCTGCCTGCCCTCACCCTGGGGTCACCTGTGCCCCCGAGAGACCGTGCTCTGCTTCCCCTCCCTCTTCACACTCACTTCCCAAAGGCGAAGCACTCCAGGGTGACCTGCTGCCCCACCAGTGCATAGGTCTCTGCTGGGAACCGGGCCTTGATGCTGGGTGCAAAGAGCCGGGTATCTGGGGAGAGAGGGTTTTACAAATCAGATGCAGATGACTCCAGGTCAGGTGCTCCCGTGCATGGGATCTCAGCACCTTTCAGAGCCAACTCTGTCTAGGCAGCTGTGTGGAATCTCCTTGAGGCCTGGGGCAAGGGCCTCAGGATTTGAAGCAGGAGGATCTGGGGGTCCAGGGCCTGGAATCAGTGCCCTGCAAGCTGATCTTCCAATCTCCAAAGGAAAAACCCTTTTCCTAATGCCCGCTGACCCTTCCAGTTCCCTCCCTCCAGCCACGCCTGGCCAAGCCTGACCTTCAGCAGCCAGGTTGAGCTGAGCAAACTTGCTGAAGACGCTCTTGGTGGAGAAGTCCATGTGGCTGGTGGCCAAACAGGAGTAGTTGCCCAGGTCTGAGGCATTGGTTCGGGCAATGTACAGGTTCCCTGTGGTCTGGGACACGAAGTGACGCCCGTCCGTCGGGATGAAGTTGGGGAACTCGTTGAGGAGCCAGCGGTAGGACAAGCCTAGGATGTGAGGAGTTTGAGGAAACCAGGGGGTGCTGGGCTAACAGGGCCACTCTGGGTGGGACCCCAGCATGCTGGTGCGGTTCTGCAAGCCCTGTCCTGACAGCCACCATGCTCTGAACTGGGGCTAAGGGGAGACCTAGAGGGAAGAAGTGACTTTATTCCTGCCCTCAGGGAGCGCTAAGTCTGCCAGGGATCGCAGCCCTCAGGGGCCACCCAGTTTGAAGGCGGAAGCAGGGCACAACGATGGAAAGTGACAGACCTATAAAGGAAACACAGATCATTTAAAGTTAGGGTCCCAGGGATGGGTGCTTCTAAGGGTCATTTCCAGGGGTCTCCTTTTATTCCATCCTTCCTCTGCCAAGCATCTGGAAGCCCTTCCTGTGCCCTCTCTAACCCTGGCCCCAGGTCTGGACTCACCTGGGTAGTGGGCAGGTGGGTTACAGGGCAACATCACCCCCCAGCCTTCATGAGCTTTCACTGGGTCTCGCTCCTCCTTGGAGAATTCCTGCAGAACTGGAGGCAGAGACCAGGGGCTCAGGCACTGTCCTCCTGGCCTGCGAGCCCCTCCCCGACTCATCCTTCACGGAGAAGCAGCAGTTCACTAAGGCATGTCATGTGAGGTCAGGAAGGCCCGGCTTGAGGGTGTCCCTTATCCTTTCTCAGTAATTTCTCCTAGCCCCCTCTCCCCCTCCCCCAAAGTGTCTTGGTCCCCCGCGGGTCTCACAGCCGAAGCGGAGGATGGCCTCCCTGCTGACAACGGTGCCCACTGGGTTGGAGGCCAGGCACTGGTAGACCCCGGCATCCTGTGCCTTGGTGGGGTTCATGATGACCAGGTTGCCCCCCACCAGCTGGTGACGGGAACCTGGCTCCAGCTTCATCTCGGTACCATTCATCTTCCACCTGCAGCAGGGGACAGAGGAAGGGGACCTCTGAGTCCTGCCTGGTGGCAGGGCTGATGAGAGGGAAAGTTCAACGGCTGCCCAGGGCCTCCCAGCACCCACTGCAGAGGCCTTACCGATAGGTGGCTGGAGGGCTGGCCCGGGCGCGGCATGCCAGCAACACCTGCTCCTCCGTGGACTCCTCTGGGAATAGCACACTGAGGGGCTGGTCTTCAAAGACAGGCCCGAAGGTGGTTTGGGATCCCAGGGCTGAACTCCAAGCTGCAGGTGATGACACCACCAGATGCCTCAGAGCCTTGGCCTGGCTGGAGCCTGGCCTCTTGGGCTGTGCTGTCCAGTAAAACTTTCTCTGATGATGGGAATGTCCCATTTTCTGCACTGTTCAATGTGGTAACCACTAGCCACGTAGGGCTATCGAGCACTTGACATGTGGCTATTGCGACTGAAGAACGACATTTTACATTTTATATTACTTAATTAATTTAAATTTGAATTTAAATAGGCTGGGCAGGCCCCATCTGGCCATACTAGTTCAATCAATCACCCATCCTACACTTAGGTATTGAGCACCTGCTCTATACCCAGCACTGGGCTAGAGACTGGCTTGTAAAGATGATTAAGACACAGTCCCTCTTCTTCAAGGGGCTTGCGGTCCAAGGAGGGAGACAGGAAATTGACAGTGCAAGGTAGCAAATGCCATAAAGTTCAAGATGCTGGGGCCTCAGAATGGAAGCAGTTCTACCTCCCAGGGGGCTTTCAAGGGACCCTTACAGAAGAACTGATCTGTGGGGTGTGAGGTGCATGAGACGTCGCCAGCCACAAACATGCAGAGAGGATGTGTGTCCCTGGAGCCTAATACCCTTACTGGGGCAGTGTGGACCAACGAGGCCTGGGCCTGGGGACTAGGCTGGCCCTCTACTAGCTGTGGGACCTTGGGAAAGTTATAGAACTCTTCTGAGCCTCAGTATCTTCACCTGTGAAATGAAAAGAATATGAGTTCACCTCCCAGGGTCTGCATGAGGATTCAGCCAGACAAACCCTTGGAAGGTGGCGGGCACGGAGAGTGTGCTCAGCAGATGTCTGCTGGAGCCACATGTGGGGTGGGGACTTGGAGGAGAAGGATTGCCTTATGGTGGGTGGAGGGTGGGCAGTTTGCTTTGGTGGCAGTTTTATACAATTCCAGTATCACAATTCAAGAAATGTCCAGAAAAGGGAGTGACTTGCCCATGGTCACCCAGCAAGTCTGTGGCACAGACAGATCAATTCCTCCTGAGCTTGGTGGACCAATGAGCACCACACAGGCAAATGGGGCAGACTCCTCTCTCTTCATGCATCATTGTCCTGCTGCAGGGCAGGGCAGGGGATGAAGAGCCACAGATTGGCCGGACATCACACCTGCCCTTCGACAGGGCTGGGGTGGGCTCTCTGCTGACTGGTGGGGCCAGTCCGTTTTGCTTCTGCGGTGTCAGGTGGGAGCCAGGCTATCCCTAATTGGCTTCTACCTCTTAACGCAGCTGATTTCAGGCCTTCCTTGGTGGGTCATGGGGAAAGGGATCCCCATTAACTAATTAGTTCCTTTCCCAGCGCATCCAGCCATCAGTCCTCTTCCAGGGGTAGGGGGTGGCCCCATGCTGCAGCTGAGGCCCAGCCTTGGCCCCCTGGGAGTGAGGGCAGCTGCTAAGCAGCTCTCAGAATGAGGTAGGAGGCAGGGCTCCCAGGAATGGCCCGGTGCAGGCATCCCTTGTGCCATTCTCCCTCACTGCCGCCCCAGGCCTCAGAGGCGGAGGCGGCGGGCGGTGACGGCATCATCTCGGCTGGAAAGTCCAGCTTAATCCCAAGTTAATGATGGTGGTGTACGGTAGGAATCCTGCCCCAGCTGGCACTGCTGGGAGGGGAGGCAAAGGAGGCGCTGGGAGGCAGCCGGACTGCTGGGAACCACCTAGTACAATAGCAGCTTCCAGGAACGCTGGGTGATGGGGTGGCTGAGTGGGCTCAGGGCATGTTGATACATTCAGACTCTTTCTTCCCGAGAAACCTTTCTCCTCTGCTCTCAGCTGTCCACTCACCCAAATATTCACATACACACCCCTTCGCATCTCTCACCTACACACATTTTCTTATATGCACGCTCATGTCATACACACATTCGTACATATGCACCTCCCTAAGCTGCTCAAATGGCAAGATACATACATTTACACACACATCCATTCCCCCCTGACACACAGCTATAGATGGCCATGGAGACTTTTATATATAATCCATGCATTCATAATAATAAAAATAGGTGCTATAGACGGACTGCTTACTATTTATCCCATACCATGCTCCATATTTCCTTCTCATAACCTCTTTACAAGATAGGTATTGCCATTTTCTTATTTTCCTGACATGGAAACTGACAGTTAGAAAGCTTCAATAACTTGCCCCAGATCCCACAGCGAGAAGGAGCGGATCTGGGGGGTTGGACCTTGGCCAGGCTGACCCCACCACAAGCATTCTTAACCCCACTGTTCCTGACTCTTGACCTCTGTTTCCCATCAGAACCACCAGAGGCCCTGCTCCATCTCACAGATAAGGAGTCAGAATCTCTTGGAGTGAGGCTCAGGAGACCAAGTCTTAGAAAATGCCCCTGGGCATTCTGCAGGGAGGCTGGGATATGAGAGCTGGTCACACTGTGCTGTGAGACTTTCTGGACACATTCATTATCCCCAGCGTAGTACCACCTCCATGCAGGCACCTCACTCATACCTCCAGCCTCTCAGCCATCCATATCCACAGACACCCTCACACACCCACACTTGCCTCTTCAGCTACATACACACCCACCCACACATGAGCCTCCCCGTGTGTGTGCTTACACATGCACATGCAAAAACACACTCTCTGCCTGTAATCCCAGCACTTTGAGAGGCGGAGGCAGGAGGATCACCTGAGCTCGAGAGTTCGAGACCAGCCTGGCCAACATGGTGAAACCCCGTCTCTACCAAAAATACAAAAATTAGCCGAGCGTGGTGGCGAGTGTCTGTAATCCCAGCTACTCGGGAGGTTGAGGCAGGAGAATCGCTTGAACCCAGGAGTCAGAGGTTGCAGAGAGCCAAGATCACACCACTGCACTCCAGCCTGGGCAACAGAGTAAGACTCCATCTCAAAAACAAAAACAAAACCCGCAAACAACAACAACAACAACAAAACACACTCTCCCAGGCGAGGCCAGCCCTTCCTTATTCTTGTTCCTCATCCTCTCTGATTCTTTTCTGATGCCCTGTCCTGGTAACTTTTCCCCCAAACACAGGCGTCAGAAACCTTGCAGAGGAACGGAGTTAAAGAGATGAGAAGGTGGAGAGGGATCCTTGATACCCCTCCTTGCACTGGAGTGCCAGGAATCCACAGCTATATCCCGAGGACAGGGCAGCAAGAAAGGCCCAGAGCTGAGGCAACTTCCTGGGAGGGGTGGGGGCCAGCGATGGGATTTGCCACTCCTGTCTCTCTCTGGAGCTCTGGGAGGTGGCAGACCAGATCCCAGCCCCTTGGTCATTGGCTTCATGTGTCTCTGGGTCTAAGGAACTTGGATGCTGTCCATACCCCTTTCCTCAGATGGTGTGGATCCAGCACTGAGGTGTCCCTGAGGGAGCGGATGCTAGAAGCCCAGGCGCCTCCCCTCTGCTCCGTCTGGGGTGCCCATCTCCTGCTCTGTGCAGTTGAGGCTTCCCATCCCTGTAGCTCTTCCCAGTCTGGTGGACCCTTGGACAGGTAGCGAGGCCTGGGGGGCTGGATGGCTCGCCCCACACTCTGAGTCAGCCCTGTTTCCCAGCAGCCTCACTGACTGAGCTGCAGGACTGGGAAGCAGTGAGGACAGAATGAGAACGTCTGAAAGTATGCCAGTGGAGTCCCTCCCTCGTGAGACAAAGGACCTGAAATGCACCGGCTGTAGCCTTGCAGGGGGTGTGGGGTAGGGGAGGTGGAGTCTGAGGTGCTTAGAACTCCAGGACCATGGAGAGTCCCACAGAGATGTTTAAGGAGAAAAGAAGCATCTATTGATCTGGGCTGAGGGTCAGGGCAGAGGCCAAGCAGTGGGTCCAGCAGACCCCTTAGAGCAGGAGGCGGCTGGGGACCTCCCTCTTGCCCTAGGACAGGCCAGCGGCCCGGCTCCTCTGGCCTGACATGCTCTCCAGAGTCCAGCTGGCCTGTGGCTCTCGGCCTGCCCTCTTCACCCTCTCCTTCCCCTCCTGCCAGCCTTCCTCTGCCTCTCCTCCAAGCTGGAAGCTCCCCTGGGAGGAGAACCTCAGCTCCCTCGTCTGCCGCATCTCTTCCCAGATCCTGTTCTATGCTTGGTCCATTTGCTGGGATGCAGCGTTGCCTTAAGAAACCCTTCCAGGGTTTAGTGGGATTGACCGCTGTCTGCTCATGTCAGGGGACTACAGAGCCCTGTCTGGGAGAATGTCCTGCAATGATGGAAATGTTCTATGCTGTGTGCTATCCAATATGGCTACTGAACGTTCGAAATGTGGCTAGTGCACCTGAGGAAATTATTTTTAAAATGGAATTGAATCTGAGTTGTAGTAGTCCCATGTGGCTATTACCTTCCATATTGGACAGTGCAGCCTTTGAGGCTACAACTCCGGGTGATATTGTGGAGATCTGGCGTGCCATCATCTTGCTGTGTGACCTAGGGTAAGCCACTCACCCTCTCTGGGTCATTCTTCCTTCATCTATAATATGGCAAAGACATATTCCCTCTCCTCCTAAACTCAAAGGAAGGTAAGATCTACAAATGGGAAATTTTAGCAAGGAAATGGCCTCAGAAATCTAGCTGCTCCCACAATGCAGAGCCAATGATTTCTGTAATCGTCACCCAAATCATAGCAAGGATATAACACTATAATCATGCCTGCTAGGCTTCAAAGCCCAGATGAGCCCTCTTACCTGAAGAGGAGACAAGGGCCACAGCAGCTACCAGCAGCAGGTGTGGCTTCCTCCTGGTGGCTGTCCCCATGGTGGATGTCCGGGCAGAGGTGGGGATCGGAGGAGAAGAGCCTCAGCTCAGCTTGGGGACAGCCCAGCTGGAGGCTGAGAAAGGACCTGGGGAGGCAGACAGAAAGGAGGGCTCTGAGCCGAGGAGCGCCCCTCCCAGCTCCAGGCACATCTGGGTCCGTAAAGCTTTTACCTCGGCCTGGGGAGCTGCCGGAATTGCCCAAGCACTAATTCTCCCCAGGGCCCCAGAGGAAGGGGCTTGGCTATTACCAAGAAGCTCTTCCTGGGGCTGAGTGCCTCCTACTGGTCCCCTGGGAGTCTGGCTCAGCCCTGTACCCCCACCTGCCCCCATTCCAGCCAGTGGGGTGCCGCTTAGGAAGTGAAAGCAGTGATTAATTGGGAGGTAAGAACCCACCTGCCGTCTCGCCCGTCAGCTCTTGAGGCGAGGCCGGAAGAGAACAGGACTTGTGCATGGGTTGGAAGTCAGTAACATCTTCCTCTGGCAGGTGGGCTCAGGGCTGACTTTCCCCCTGCCCCTTCCCCTCAGCTGTCTGGGTGGGGGCTAGTAAGCCCCTCTGGGAGCTGCCTTAAGTCTCCCAGTCTTGTTTTCCTAGCAGTGAGGAGGGGTCTCACTGATTTGTCCACACCCTCTTGCCAGTGGAGTCATGACCTTGGCCCCATTAGCAATGCCCCCAACCAGATGGGTGAAGGGGCCCAGCAGGCTTTCTGGGTCGAAAGAGTTAATGCATCTCCCAGAGGAGCCTCCCTCTTGCACAGAGATGAGCTGAGGCTTGGTTCAATCATTGAGCTCTGGAGAAGAACCTGTTCCCTGTAGCTGCTGAGAGCAAGTCAGATGCCTGTCCCATCAGTCTCAGAGATGGGGCCTTCTCTTGGGAGGTGAGGGCGGGGGCAGAGCCAGCCTCCCCGTTCACTCCCAGTCCCTGGGAGGACTTTCCTAGTTCAGAGGGGAGTGTGGAATGTCAGGGGCCTGCTTTCCAGTTATTGGTTATCAGAGTGAACCTGGGTCACTGGGCTCAGAGCCTCCACAGGGGCCAGCGAGCCCGGCTGCAGATTCTGCTGCTCTGCTCTGCCTGCCCTCTTTGCGGAAACTTAAGAGCAGTGGGAGGGGGTCAGGGCTTGGGGAGAGAGCCTGGCTGGGGGCCCTTTCACCAACTGCCTGCAAGACCCGTCCCATCTCTGGATCTCAGTGTTCTGGCTCTGGTGATGCTCCCAGAATGCAGAGTGGCCAAGGGCTTGGGAATGCTGTCCCCTGGATGGGGACCCGTGTGGAGAAAGAAGGCTGCAGAGGACCTAAGATTGCCTCTCAGGCCTGTGCAGGGGCTGAAGGCCAGTGCAAGCTCAGGATCTGCCCTGTCTCACATCACACTCTATTTTCTCAGGAAGAGAGCTCCCAAACCCTTTCAACCCTCCACATTTGACCACTCCACAACCTTTTCCTGCCTCTTTCACAGCCACAGTTGGCACCCAAAGGAGCCTGGGGGGAGAGAAGGGAGAGTTGTCCCCAGGGCCCGTCAGGAAGGATATGGCCAAGGAAGCCGAGAAGCTGGGTGTTTTGCTGGGGGTGGGGGGCGTTGGAGCAGATGGCACTCCCTCCTCCACCCCGACTGCAGCCTCATATCCACTTCCGATTGACAGGCAGGGTGCCCAGGTGCCACTTCTCCCAAAATACCTGCCCCTCCCTGTCCTTGCCACTCTCAGTTCGACTTGAACTCAAGACATTCTGCACTTGCAACCCCTCCGACATTCCCCCAGCACATCCATCTTCACTCTCCTGTAATGCCCTTCCTAGGCAAGGCAGTCTCTCCTGCAAGGCCCTGTCCATGTCTCATCCCTGCCGGGAAGGGCCTAAGATGCCCCTGTCTACGCAAAAAATTCAATTCACTCTGTTCTTGACTACAGCTTTGGTACCCTGCCTGTAGAACTGTGTCCATCTCCATTAGAAGGTTCTGAGCTGCCCAGGGGAGAGATTGTGTTGTGTTCATCTTGGTATTACCTATGCCTAGCAAAGTACCTGGCACATCATAGTTGTTCCTTGTATGTTGCATTTAACTGGTCAAGAACAACTGTGATTATATGCCTCCAGGAGCCAGTGAACACATGCGTGGGCACACATGATGGGGCTCATGCAGATGCTCCTTGACTTACGATGGGGTTACATCCCGATAAACCCACTGAAAGTTGGAAATATCATAAGTTGAAACTCCATTTAATACACCTATTCTACTGAACATCATAGCTTAGCCTAGCCCACCTTCAACGTACTCAGAAGGCCGGGCACCGTGGCTCACGCCTGTAATCCCCGCAGTTTGGGAGGCCGAGGCGGGTGGATCACCTGAGGTCAGGAGTTCGAGATCAGCCTGGCCAACATGGTGAAACCCCATCTCTACTAAAAATACAAAAATTTGCTGGGCATGGTGGCAGGTGCCTGTAATCCCAGCTACTCGGGAGGCTGAGGCATGAGAATCACTTGAACTTGGGAGATGGAAGTTGCAGTGAGCCAACATCATGCCATTGCACTGCAGCCTGGGCAACAAGAGCAAAATTCCATTTCAAAAAAAAATGTACTCAGAACACTTACATTCACCTGCAGTTGGGCAAAGTCACCAAATACAAAGCCTATTTTATAATAACGTGTTAAATATCTCATGTAATGTATTGAATACTGTACTGAAAGTGAAAAACAGAGTAGTTGTTGGATACTCGAAGTATGGTTTCCATTGAATGTGTATTGCTTTTGCACCATCGTAAATTTGAAAAATTTTAAGTCAAGCCACTGTAAGTCAGGGACAGTCTGTATATACTTGATAGGGTTGACAGGTCTTCCGTTCTTCCTGGGGGCAGCCCCAAGACAAACTCTCTCTCTCTCTGTCACACACACACACACACACACACACACACACACACACACTCAGAGCTCTAGGGTCAGCAGCGTATCTGGTCAGGGGAAATCACAGACATATGTCCCTGGATGCTATACGAATGCAGGGAGTTATCCTCAGAATAGAGAGGTGTCGGGACCTTCCAGGGTTTGAACCTGATAAACAGGAGTTGTTAATATTGACTTCATCTCTGAACAGCTTCGTGAGCTGGGATAGGTTAATGCCCCTTGTGAAGCCTCAGTTTTCTCATGTGCAAAGTGGAGATTGTAACATGCACTTTACAGAGTTCTTTGGAGGGTTCCATGAGGTGCTAGAGTGCCCTGCAGTGGTTTTCAAGCTGCTGTGAAGTCTTGGGGCTGTTTGGACCTGTCTCAAGGCCACCATGGGAGGCTAGGGAGAGAGCATGGGGCTCCAGACTCCTTCTCCACTCCAGCCAGAGCAGCTCCACTTGTATCTGCTTTATATGCAGGACTTTCCTATGAAGTTCCCTTTAAACAAAGGGCTCCATGGCTCCAAAAAGTTGGAAAATCACCCCGTTGGCACTGGTGTGCTGCGTCCTGATGCCTGGCACAGAGAAGGTGCTCAATCATCATTTGCTCCTTGCTCTTTGCCAGCCTGTCAGGCCCGGGAGCTCACTGGGGGCAGGGTGCTGGCCTGGGGAGGAGCCTGGGCTCCAGGCACTTGTACTGAATGTGCCAGAGCAAGGCAGAGACAGACAACCAGGGGCTGGAGACTCCAGGATAGCCTCTGAGCAGATTCCTACCCGGAGTCCCTAGCTCCCACAGCAGTGTTGGTGACAGCTGGGTGTGTGTGCGCGTCTGTGTCCCAGTGTGCGTGGATGTAATGCTTGTGGGTATCTGTTGTGTCTATATGTCCCTGTGTATATGTGTGATATACATATATGTATATGTATATATGTGTATATGTATGTATGTGTCTATGTGTCTGTGTATGATGATGTCCGGTCTTTGTGTGTATGTCTGTGTGTGTGTGTGTGTGTGTGTGTGTGTGTGTGTGTGTGTGTGTCGGGTGTGAGGACTCAGCCCCTTGCCTTGTTTCCCTGAAACCCACCAGGAGGTTTGCATCATAGATCCTTCGCCTCCACCTCCAGTAGTCAGAATTATCTGTTATCTCTATTACCATAAGTAATTACCATGGGTAATCACGAATAATCCGGCCCAGGGATCCTGGGTACCCTCCAGGGATCGAGACATACAGCCTTAGAGGAGACTGCAGGGGAGGGGCTGGGATCCAGGAGCACCTGGGGTTGCCCTGGGGGAGCACCACAGACCCATCAGCCTGATCAGATGTATATTGAGCTCCATTGTGTGCCACAGCCTTGGGTGAACACACACACACACACACACACACACACACACACACACACACACACACACGCAGAGTCTGGGCTAAAGGCTGGAGCTCCTTGCCTCCCTAAAGGTGAGGCAGTTGGCGTCCAGTCTTGCCCTGCATCCATTTCCATCACAGTGTTTATTGACCATGTGCCAGGCATTGTGCTAAGCACAGGGGAGACAGTAATAAAATTACTGCCTCTACAGAGCTCCCCGACCGCCCGAGTGCAGCCTAGAATGCGCTCATGAGTTCACCGATCAGTCATCTCCCCATACCATCTGCCCTATTATGCGTTCTAGAATGCCCAGGATGGAGGAGGCCTTTTTGTCAGGAGCAAGGCTGGAGTGGAGCTATGCCAGGCCCAGAGCTGGCCCTGCGAACCCTGAGCCAGCCAAGCCTCGCCCAGGCCAGCTGCCCTGGTGCAGGGGTGCAGGCACAGACTGGCACAGGCAAGCACAGGCTGTCATCAGCAGGGGCTGGTCCTGCAAGGCACCAGCACATGGGGGAGTGGACCACTGGGGGGTTCGGGGGCACCAGGGGGAGTTGGCTGAATTGTCAGTCCCAGGAAACAAAGGGCCTGGGGGACAGCTGGGGGACAGAAGGCTATGAGTGGGGCTCCAACACACGACAAGGTTTTCTGGGATAAGGCCCCCCGCATGGAGCCAGTCAAAAAATAAAAGGTACACCCTCCACCCCAGAGTTCTCCCTACTGGGATGCCCAGCTCCTGGCCCTGAATCTGTCTCCCCTTCTCCCCAGTAATGGAGATTGGAGAGCAATGAGAGATTTGGCAACTTCCGATGGATGGTGGTAGCAAAGGGGAGTTCAGAGCCCAGCTGTGGGCAGAGACTAAGTGATTTATTATCAGCCTACAAAGTACTTGAGGAGCCCTTCAGGCCCCCGCTTGACCTCTATCCTATAAAACAGCACACTGGTTAACAGGGCAGGCCATTGAGTCAACCTGCCTGCTGCTGTCTAGCTAGTATAACCCTAATAAAACTAACTAGTATAACCTGGTTATCACAGTCGTTACTTAACCTCTCCCAGCCTCACTCTCCCATCTGCAAGAATGGGATGAGAAGGGCAGGACCCGCCCCATGGGGCTGCTGTGAGGTCAGCACCATCACAGGCTCATAGTGAGTGCTCAGGAAAGATCAGATCTTAGAACTGAGAAATCTCACAGCCGTGTGTCCGCAGCCACTGTGCCTGTCTGGCTTACTTCTATACAGTCACAACGTCCAGGCGGCACTCATATGTATTTAGGAGACTGACAAACCCACAATCTCCTGGGCAGGTGCCTCCCTCCTCTTACGCCTCAAAGGTGCAATGGTCATAGGTAAGCACTAGCACAGCACCCCAGACTAGGGCACAAGGACACAGCCCCCATGCCAGAGTTATACCTGGTACAATGTGCTCAGGGGGTCACGCGGCCAGGACAGGCACTCCCAAGCAGGTACTCCTTCTCAACAGCCCTCACCTCCTGCCTGATGGGATCTAAGATCAGTACCTTTTCCTTTGCCTAAGACAAGAATTGCCTCCTGGGACAGCACCATCATCCTCCAGGAAGGTCTGAACCATCCCCATGCCCCTCTGGTCAGTACAGGGCTCTGTGGTGGCGTGGGTGAGGGCTGCTAGGATCTCAGCGGGCCAGGCCAGGCTGCAGCTGGCAGGGGTGGGGTGAAGGATTGTGACTGAGGGGTCTCTGTGGTACCCTGAGCTGGAGACATCCTTAGGGCAGAAATGGGGACATAGGGACCTCCTCAGCCCCAATGGGGACCAGGGGTGTCGTGCAGCCCCGTCCTTCCTTAGTCCCCTCTGTGAGCTGCTCAGCTCTCTCTGCAGGCTCTTTGTGATTGCAGCTGCTTCCCCGAGGCCCAGCCCTGGTGCTGACGTGCCCTCTGGGGAGAGCTGTGGCTCCCAGGCTCATGGATTTGTTTGATCTTCTAGCATTGGGCAGGGGGGAGTCTGGCCCTTGATCTGAGCCTAGAGTCTTTGCCCCTGCAAGAGAGACCTACTCTAACAGAGAGACCCTTTAAAGTAGGGAGTGGACAGAAGAAGAGAGGCTTCCATCCTCCTGGGAAGCTCAGGATCAGAAGCCAGCCACCCCCAGACCTTAGGTTTTCCTACTTGCCTGCCCTGCTCTGTGTGTGGTGTGAGGCAGTGAGTGAGGGCTTTAGAAGGATCCCTTTTTGAGATGCCAGGCGTAAGAACAATGGTTTCAACTTGTTTCTGAAAAAGCAAATCAGGAAGAAAATTTCCTCGTGCATTAGCAGAGCAATTTCTGCTTGTCCCCCAACTCTGCTGCAAGGAGGCTCCCCCCAGTTCCTAGACAGCTTCCTCCAGGGTGGCTCAGAGCTTAAGCCTGGTGGGGGTGAGGTCCAACCTGCTCCTCCTCTCAAGCTAGTTTCCTTTGGATTTGGGGTCCAGATTAACTTCACCTCTTGGGCAGCACTGCAGGAAGGCTGCCCTCCAGCCAGGCACAGGGTGGGAGAACCCCTTGGTCAGGGTGTTCAGGGTGGCAGGCACTGAGAAGATGTGGGCTTAGGCTGGAGGAAGCCCAGCAGGTTTGACTAGATGGGTGTGTGTGAGGGGCTGGGGTTGACTTCCCCACCTACGTAGTGAACTGAATGTCTCATTAGGTAAAAAGGACACTGAGATGCGTTTGGGCCTGAGTGTGTCCTGGGATGGGAGGTGTTCAGGTTTTGGATGAGAATATCACACTCCTTGCTTTTGTTTGCATTCTCTTTGGTAAACAAAGAAACATGGGCTAATCTTGTAGCAAGGAATCATCAAACTAAGAAAGGACTTACTCTAGGATGGTTACCGTCAGGATACGGAGCCCACAGAAACTCCCATAAATGTTCCAGGTTAGCAACAGCCTCTGGGTGGTTTGTTTAGATTGGGGTTGTAGTCCTGAAGGATGAGGGGGTGGCCAGCATGCATGAGGGGATGAAAAGGATGTCTGCCTTCTTATGGATTCCTGAGTCACATCCACCTTTTACCATTTGAAAGAGGATTACTAGAAGTTGGAAGAAATTTACAGGGTCAGCCAGCCCAACCTTTGCCTCTAGGCAGGACTCTCTAACCTTGGACCAGACCCCAGTTCTCCACACCATCCTTAGAGTCATCTGAAAGGAGACTGCCCCACCTCCTCATGGCTCACTCTTCTAGCCAGGAAGTGTCTCCTGCAGTCTAACTTAAGTCCCTCTGGCTTCCCTGGCATATTCTTTGCTCTGGTTCTTCCTCCCCTGCATATCAATCACCTCTTCTCCAACCCCCTGGTTCTGCCCTAGGAATCCCTCCAAAAATACAAATACCACCCACACTCAGGCTTAGAGATTGTCTTTGAAATACGCTTTCTCACCAACGTTTGGCTCAAGGAGGTTTCTGAAGAGGGCACCATGCATCCTCCAAACCACCCCAAATGCGTTGCTTCCCTGGTGACTTTAGAGGCAGAAAGGATGCCTTGGGGTACACCTGTCTATGTACATGCTCCTAAGGAGTAAGTTTGGTCAGCCAGAGACGAGATGTGCAATCACCCCGTTAAGCACAATTCCTCGGAGGCCCATCCCACATGTGTCTCTATTTGAACAACTGCTGGCAGAGAAGGTGCTGGAATGGAGTTGCATAAGGAGTGAAATCTGGCAGGGGAAATGGTGGCGGCGGGAGGCTGAGGGCTGAAGCCGGTGGAGTACACGCGATGAGAGAAGGGAGTGCGAGGAAAGAAGGAGTAGAGGAAGGGAGGAGAGTAAGAGAGAAAGAGCCGGGAATGAGAGCAGACTCCTGGAGTCTGAGGCACTCATCTGCATAAGGAGTGTGCCTCTGCTTCCCTCACCGCTCATGGTGTGAGCACAGTGGTCTCTGCACCTGTGAGGCAGGTGGACCTTGGGTGACTTTGACATCATCAGGTCAGGGGCCCTTTCCTGTCTGTCTCACCTCCTGCCTCCCTCTTATTCGCTGAGGACTTCCACGGGAGATTAGGAAGGACTCTGACCTTGTGGCAAAAGCCCTGTCCATGGTTCTGCAGCTTGGCTAGAAAGGGGTTAACTGGTGGGCACCCTGGGGAGGGGCTTGGATGCTGCTGTCTTTAAGGGGAGAGCTCCCTTCTCCCAAGGCCAGGAGTGAGGGCACCTGTTGTGACCTCCAGGCCATCTCCCTGTCCAGGTGCGATCACAGCAGCCTCTCCCACAGGTGGCCCACCTTTTGCTGCACTCGATCTCCAGTGGCTCATCCGGCCCCTCTGAGTGGGACCAGGAGGTAGAGAGACTCGGAGGCTAAGTGAGCTGAGGCGTCTTTGGCCAGACGGTTGGGAGAGGAGGCCGAAACTGTTGCCCAGACGAGACCAGAACATCACCTGTGCACTGGGTTTCTTGGGCTGTTCCTCCTCCCAGCTCCTTCTGAGCAGAGGGAAAAGATGCTGAAACCCACCTTTCTCCAGGGCTGGGGCCATGGCATGCACAACCCCACTCCCTCCTGGCCTCACTGGACCCCCCCCCCCAGGACACAGGCTCAACCCCCAGGGGTCTGGGGCTAGAGGGTGCCCGTCTCCATCCCCAAGTAGCAGCAGGATTCTCCCCTTCCATAGGCACTGCCTTCTCCATGCCCCGCTGCTTCCCAGACCTGAGAGACCCTCTTGGAGAAGGTGACAGGATTCAGCTCTGGACACTCACTGGCTGGGGCTGCCCCCCACCTCCAGCCCATTATGTAAGCCCCACGGTGCTGGGCAGAAGGATTGCCCTCTCTTTCCAGAACTCCCCAGCTCTGCCCCTTCCCTTCCCCATACCATTCTGGCCCCAGCCCCTTTCCTTACTGGAAAGCCAAACTTTGTGCAAATTCTTCCCTCCCACCAGTGAGGATGGGGGGGAGGGATTTGAGGAGAAGCTAAGGTTGGGAGGGGGAAGGGAAGGAAAGGAATTTCAGCCCGGTAGCCCCAGCCTCTCGCCCTTTGGGATGTGACTGGCCTCAGGACTCTCCTCCCCGAGTCCCAGTTCCTGGACAGGCCCTTGCCCAAACTTGTGCTCCACTCTCCCCTCTCTCTTCCACAGCCCCCCTCTCCATCCAGCTGAAGCAAGACTTTGCAAAGAGGTCACCCTGCAGAGGTAGACCCTGGGTGACCTCAAAACTGGGGACTCCGGCTCAATTCCATGCAGGGACTTCTGGGGCAGGCCAGGGCCCAGGGCCTGGCTGTATGGACTGGTCCTGTCCTGGACCGGGTGCCCAGGGCCGGCCCAGGAGAAACTGCCCTCTCCACAGGCAGCTGCCACTGCCCGCTGGCCAACTGGAATTCCTGGACACACTCCTGGGGTCCAGCTTTTCGGCCAGGCTCGGCCTGAGAGAGCCCTGCGGGATGCCGCCCACGTAGACAGGGCGGAGGGGAGCCCCAGCACCCACCCTGGGGCTGAGGGGAGAAGTCAGAACGGCCCCAGCCTGCCAGTGTTCCTGTCCCTGTTCCCTCCCAAGTTACAAGGGGGATATTTACAGGAACTGAGCCGGGAGCCCCGGCCCATAACAGCACGCAGGGAAGTCCCTGGGTTGGAGGAGACAAAAGCGGTTGGCACCTACCTGGGGCGAGAGAAGGGTGTTGGCTGGGGCAGGTGGATGCTGCCCGAGTCGGTGAGCCGGGGCCGGCCGGGCCGCCAGCCCCTGTCTGGGCCGCTGTCCTTTGGGCCCTGGCGGCCTCAGCCGCTCGCTGTCCGGGTGCGGCGGCGGCCGCGGCGGCGGTGGCGGGTGAGGGCGCGTGTGTGTGAGCGCGCCCGGAGCCACTGCAGCATCTCTGCATCAAGATGTGCTCCTCCCTCTCCCAGGCTCCGCTCACTGGCTGGCTCTGGTCCTCAGCCAACGCTCGGGGGCCCTGGAGATGGCTTCCTTCTGCCCCCCTCCCACCCCACTTCCGTCCCCACCCTCCTGGCTTTACCTCATTTGCTGTCATTTAAGGACCAGGGAGCGAGCCCAGCGCGCGTCTTCCATAATGCATGGGCCGCTCATGGACAGGCCGCGGGGCGCTGTCTGGCCCGCCTGCCCTCCCGATCCTGCCCAGCCCCACTTCTAGTCCCCCTGCCCAGGGCTGAAGGGGCAGGAGAGGGGCGGGGTGAAGAGGGAAAAGAAAGTGGCTCTTACTCCTCAAACCCTGGAGACCCATGGAGCCAAAACTCCTGGTTTCCCCAGAAATCCCCTATCCGAGGAAGAGATCCAAATCAGAAATCCCAGCTTGCTGTGTGGGGCAAGTGGCAGGGAGGGGCTGTCTCTGTTGCCCGGTCCACCCCATGTTCCTCTTTATTGTTTCCCTTGTTCAAAAGTAGTTTGAGCTTTTTGTCAAAATATCTAAATATTAGAGGACATTTAAAAATACATAGTGAAAGTCCCTCAACCACTACTCTTAATAAATCTAAGTACATGCCCCCAGGTTTATTATTTTCGTGTATACAATTACATGGGTTAGTAGGGTTATTTCACACAAATGTGATTACATAAAACAGTAGGATTGGCCAAAGACTTTTAACTGTGTAACTGATCTTGGACACTTTTACGCATCAGTACGTTTGGATCCAATCCCATTTTTAAGCAACCAGCAGTGTGATGTCATGAAAAGCTCCCTGGATTAGGGGTCTGGGTGTCTGAAGCATACTCTGGGCTCCACAACCGACTGGCTGTGTGTGCTTGGCTAGGTGCCCTGCCCTCTCTGAGCCTCGCTGGTACCTGAAGGGATTAAAGATGGACACAGTCCTGCCAGCTCTGAGATTCTAAGTGCTCACCCTTGTCAGCGATGCCTTTCTCCTGCCCTGCTCCGGTCACGTGGGGGAGTGCCCAGGAAGGCTGTGGCCCGGAGGCGGAGGGACCAGCCATCTGCGGCACCAGTCGGCCCTGTCAGGCTGTCACTGTTGTCTCACCCCCCTCTGATCTGCCTGCTGTCCAGCTTGCACAGGCAAGACCGGTGAGCAGTCCAGATGCTGCAACAGCTGGCAGGGCCAGGCCAGCCTCCCAGTTTTAAATGGCTATACCTGTCAAGCCTGGATCATGGCTCCATGTCTCCCTGAGTGGAGGAGGTCCTGGGGACCTGGGCCAGAATGAGAGGGTCTGGAAAAGGAGAAGGAGTCGGGGAGGTTCTGCTGCTCAGCCTCCAAGGCTGGAATGTCTGCCCAGGTCCCACATGCGCTCCCCTCCTTTCCTTCTGAGCCCCTCCAAAGGGCTTGCCCAACTTGAGAGATAGTCTTCTTTGTTCCTGATGGGGAGGACTTGGATTTTGCTAATGATGTTTCTTAAATAATGTTGAATGCTGTTATATAGACAGACACATCAACCCCTTGCCAGGATATCTTTCCCTTCCTTCCCCTGCCCACACTGTCCTTGCCTATCTGTATGTCTGAGGGCTGGCACATTGGCTCTGAGCTCCTGAGGTGAACCTTGCTCTTTGGCACCATTCAAGTCAGCCTGGGCTCCAAAGAGAGGCTCTGCAAGTTCTCTCCTAGCAGAAAACGGCAGGAACAAGTCCTTGCCAAGAAAAGGATGCTATGTCTGCTGCAGGGGGCTGACGGGCCAGGAAATAGGCTGGCCCAGGAACCAACAGTCTGGAAATGCTTGCAAGGATTGCTTTAGACGGAGACAGCTGTCTTTGTGACTCTATTTTAGGACAGCTGCTGCCCTGTGGTGGGAGCTGGGTCTCTGGGGAGGGTCGTTAGCACAGGTGACTTGGGTCTTAAAGACTCTCAGATCTCAATGCAACCAGCATGCTCCATGTGGACTCTGGCAGACACAATAAGTGAAAACAAGAACATTTGCCAAGCCTAGACTTGGATGGGGAGACAGTTCCCAAAGTCTCATCTTCTCACTTGTCTGAAGCTCTCAGTGAAGTCTAGTATGAATGAGTTTGGGGAGATTAGGGGGATCTGCACTCCCAGTCTCTGAGATGCTCCTGTTCCTGAGGAGAGAGTGGGGTGGGCATTTGGGGGTGCAGGCTGAGTTTTGCTTGTGGGGCCCATTAGCTTGATAATAACAGAAATAATATCTGTTTTGAATGCCTCCCACATGCCGGGAGCTGTGCTAAATGCTTTACCTGAATTACTTGCGCAAGAGGTCCATGTTGTTATTATCCTCACTTTTCAGATGTTGCTCAGTAAGAGTAAGGAACTTGCTCAAAAGAAATAGTAAACAAGTGGAACCCTGGGCAACGTGGCGAAACCCCGTCTCAACAAAAAACACACAAAAATTAGCCAGTGTGGCAGTGCACACCTGTAGTCCCAGCTACCTAGGAGGCTGAGGTAGAAAGATCACCTGAGCCTGGGAGGTTAAGCCTGCAGTGAGCTGTGATCGTGCCACTGCACTCCAGCCTAGATGACAGAGTGAGGCCTGGGATCGGCCTCCAGCATCCTGGCTTAGCCACCGTGCCATGGACTCCAGCTACCTACTGTCTGTTCTTTTGAGGTGGGCAAAATAGGGGGCAGAACAGTTTCTTCTTCTTTGGTGACATCCAGAGCCCACAATCTTCAGTGCAGCTGACCATAAGGGCCACCTCTCCTTTCTGTGGCTGATCAATATGACTCCATGTTGTCCAGAGCTGGGACTCCACATCTCAAAGTTGAGTCCCCACAGACTTTCAAACAGGGCAAGAAAGGGCCAGTGAAGATAATCAGGTGGCTAGTCAAATGGCTTATAAATTTGTCCGCAAACATGTGGTGCTCCCTTGGTGGTGGTGGGTGGGGATCAGAAAGCATTTTGAGGGCCACCCAACCCTGCCCAGACCATCTGCTTCTTCCTACTGTAGCCACACAAGATTGATAGCAATGGAATCCAGTGGGTCTCTAACCGATCAAGAAGGGACCTCTAGGCCCCATCCCTGGGGACAAGTGGGGAGGAGATGAGACCCTGCCATGGCCCCAGGATGCTGCAGCTTTGCTGTCTCTTTCCTCACCACTCCCCCGCCTCACCTCTCCTTTCCTGGCCTCTCCCGCCACCAGCATCTTTGCCCAGACCCTTTTCCCAGGAGGCCATGTATTTATGGAGCAGCTCCTCTGCCTGGAATGTAGGGATCCAAGAGCCAGGGGATGCGGTCTTCAAAGTGCCAGTGACCTTTTTGGAAGCAGTGTGACAGTGGTAACAGGACTGTCCATCCACAGCTCTGGGGAAAACTGATATGGCCATAAGGAAAAGCTCTGCAGACAGACCCGTTTGACACCCAGTCCTGCTACTGAGGAGATGTGAGGCCATGGGCAAGCCACATACCTCTTCACCCAGAATATGGGGATGAAGACACATACCTCACTGAGTTGATGTGAGTGTTGAGTTACACGTGAAGTAGCTAGCACAGCAGGTGCTCAATAAATGTCAGTATTTCCCTTTTGGGATTTAGCCTCCCTCATCTGTAAAACAAGGATATGAGGCAGAGCAGTAAGGGCTGCAAGTGGTTGGGGTGGCTCTGGATTTGTAGTCAAGAGAACTGGACTCTGTCCCAGCTCTGTCACTCCTACCTGGATGACTCTGGGCAAGTAACAGAATGACACTTAATCGCCCAGATAATCCATTTCTTCACCAGTAAAATAGGAATGATCCTACTCCTATCTAGGATGGTAGTGAGGATATGTGAATTAAACATAATGGTTTTTAAAAGCACTTTGAATTGCAAAGTGCCATATCAAATACTGATGGCCATTCCCTCAGCTATGCAGTCCAAAAGGTAGGGATTATCTCATCAGTCCGTATTCTCCCAGTCCCCCACCCTCCTGTTTAGCACAGTGCCTGGTGCATGGTGGAGACTCAATAAATATTTGTTGACTGGGTGAATGAATGAAGGAGAGTAGCTATAGTAACCATTCAGAGGATGAGGAGAGAGGGAGGTAGGATGTGGGTGAAGCTTTCAGTGGGGGTGGGTGGGTGCATCTTGAATTGAGCCTGGATGGACAGAGAGGAGGTGGGGAATGTGTTTCTGGCATGGGGGCATGTGGTGTGGCAGGAGCCAAGATGTGGGGCCTGGGAAGGCCATGATTTGTGTAATGCCTGGAGAAGCCAAGTTGACCTAGCAGGGGTGCTGGAAGGAAGATCTCAATGCCCTGTCTGCATTTGCCTTCCTAATTTCATGTGAGGGCCCAGAGGGGTCTGTGGCCTGGAGGGGCCTAATTATTCTCTTTGCCATTTCAACCCAGGGCTCTTGCAGCTCCTTTTTCAGGCTTATAATAGATGATGCTAATGTCATTATTAATATTTAATAGTAATGATGCTAATAATGCCCTGCATTTATGTGGTCTCTCCAAAGAGCTCAAAGAACCCTGAGTTCTTTTTTTATGAAACAATTTGGCTGGTGTGGAAGGTGGGAGGGCAGGAGGGCAGGACAGTAGAGAGGGATTGAGTCACAAAGAAAGCAAAGCCAGAAAGGTGAAATGATTGGGCCAAGGTCACAGAGCAGTGGAGGTGGGGCTGGGCTAGGACTGGGTGCGTGGGTTCCCTGCCTGGAGCTCTGTCCTTGACTGCCCCAGGTCATCTGGGTTTAAGGAGGACGTTCCTGGTGGGGACATCTTTTGGTCCCGGTAAAAGCCATGCCATCCAGAGGATATGACAGAACAGTCTTGGGGGCAGCTGTGACCCTGGAAGTGGGCTGGGCTGAAGAGTCGATAACCTTTTGCTCTGTCTGCCCTTTACTAAGCCTGCCCGGGGTGGCTAATAGGCAGCCATGGAACATGGGAGCTGGAAGGGGCAGGTGGGGACATTGGAGTCCTTTACTAGATTCTGCAGGCCTCCCTGAGCCTTAGGCCAGACCCCTGTTTTCCAGGATCTCTGGGTGTCTGATGTACAACCTCTTGGAAGCAGTTTCAATCAGCCCACGTCAATGTGGAATCTCGGGGCTGCTGTGTAGCGTTACACAGGGAGCTCCTTCATGAAGAACAATGTCAGTGGTGCCCCCGGGAAGGAGACAGTGCAGAGTGGTTGGAAGGCCTTGGAGTCAGACAGATCTTGATTCCAATTCCACCCACCTTATTGATTGGCTGTGTGACCATAGGCTTCTAAGACTCAATTTCATCATCTGTAAAGTGGAGGAGAGGCTCTGCTTCAGAGAGCTGCGTGGATCAGCCGAGGCGAGGTACACATACATGTTGGACAGTGGAGGAGGCAGCGGGCATTTCAAGGTTCTGGCATCAGTGAAGGGAGTGTCCAGTGTGGGTGATGCCAGCGGTGGCGTCCTGGCTGGACGTTGCCCAGATGTGACCTCAGCCTGTCTCTGCTGGCTGGCCTGTGTTGGCTCCTGCCCATTTCTCAGTCGACTTCTTTAGTCTTTCCATTGATTCTGTGATCGACTTGATAGCCTTCTGGTGAATTCCATTTCTGTTTACAATGGCCAAAGTCTATTTATGCTGCCTGCAACTGAGAACCTAGACTGATTCAGGACTGAAAGCTTCTAGCACAGTGTTTGGCACAAAAGATGTGTTCAATAAACAATAACCAGAAATTGTTAGAAAATATGGTATTCATTCATCCATTCACCTATACCTACATACATTCATTTAACAAGCAAATGCCAAGTACCTCTTGTATCAGGTATTGCACCAAGTGCTGGGATACAGAGGAGAATAAGGCACGGTGAGTGCTCATGAGGAGCTCACAGTTTAATGGTGGGAATGACGTGTACAAATAATCAGAATCCAATCCTGCAAATGCTATAACCCAAGTTGGCACGAAGTATCATGGAGGGGCATCTGCCTTTGCCTGGTGAGGCTTGGGAATGAGAAAACATTTTAACTGTGTCTTGAAGGAAGACTCTGAGTTTACCAGGTAGACCAGGTGTTTGTGGTACGAGCTGGAGGAGGCAGGGAAGAGATGGTGCCAGGAAGAAGCAACAGCTTGTGCAAAGGTGACAGCATGGCAGATTTGAAAGGGAGTTGGTTAGCATGCCTGGAGTTGAGGGTGCAAGGAAGGGATGAGGCTGGAGGCGTAGGCTGTGGCCAGTCCACGATGAGCATTATAAGCCCTTGGGGCCTTTATCAAGGGCAACGGGGGAACAGTTGGAAGGATCTGAGGATGTAAGCAACACCTGCAAGGCTGAGACTTGTGTTTTGAAGAGTCTACTATGGGGCGGCAGGGAGGGTGGAGTGCACAGAACAGACGCCTACCTGGAGATCGGAAGGCTGACGAGTCAGGCATTGCAGCAGGTCGTAGATGAGGTGACATAGACCTGGAAGGGTCCTTCGACACGGAGCTCAGACCTGTGCTGGCCAGCCACAGGTCTTCACTTGGATGCCCATGGGCCTCTCATGTCACCACAGGATACTCAAACCCCCACCTGTGATGGTCAGTTTTATGGGTCAACATGGCAAGGCTATAGTACACAGTCATTTAATCAAACATGAATCTAGGTATTGCTGTGAAGGCATTTTGTAGACATGGTTAACATCTTCAGTCAGTTGGCTTTAAGTAAGATTATTCTCGATAATGGGGATAGTCTTCATCCAATCAGTTGCAAGGCCTAAGGAGCACAGAGGTTTCCCTGAGACGTAAGCAGTTCTGCCCCCAGCCTGCAGCATCAGTTCATGCCTGAGAGTTTCCAGGCTGCTGGCTTGCCCTACAGAAAACCGACTTGCCAACCCCCAAATTGTAAGTCAATTTCTTGAAATAAACTTCATAAACCCAATCATAAACCCTGATTGATACATACTTTCACCCTCTCTATCTGCTTCTCCTCCTGGGTTCCTTGCTGTATTAGTAACTTGGGCTGCTAACAGAATACCACAGACTGGGTGGCTGAAACAATGGAATTGTATTGCTCACAGTTCTGGAGGCTGAAAAGTCCAGGATCAAGGCATCAGCAGACAGTGTCTGGTGAGGGCTCCCTTCCTGGTGTGCAGATGGCCATCTTCTCATTGGATCATCACATGGCAGAGAGCAACAGAGCAAGCTCTCTTGTCTCTTCTTATAAGGGCACTGATCCCATTCATAGGAGCTCCACCCTCATGACCTAATTACCTGCTAAAGGCTGTGCCTCCTAATGGTATCACATTGAGGGTTTAGGTTTTAACATATTATTTTGTGGGAGACACCTGCCTCCATGAATGGCACCCTCCAAACTGTTCCATCTTCTGTGGCTCCTCTCTCTCCTCAACCCCACCCCCAAGTCCTGCCAACCACTCAGGCCTGCTGACTCTGTTGCCCCCGAAAGGCCTCTTCTATGTATCCTCTGCCTTCCCAGCCTTCCTCCCAGTCTTAGCTCTGGCCCTCCCTAGTTTTCACCTGCATTGTTACATCCTCACCAGGCCTTCCAGTCTCACCCCTCCCATTCACTCTCCAGATCCACAGTCAGAATGAGCTACCAAAGATGCAAATCAGATCCAGTTACTCTCCTGCTAAAAATTCTCCAGCATCTCTTGCCTCCAGGTAAGATTCCAGGCTCCTTCCCACGCCACACAGGGCTCATTGGGATAGTGTAGTCTGATCCTTCCTCAGTCTACCTTCTTCTCTTGCCTTCTCCTGACTTACTTCAGCCTGATTGACCCACTTGCCATTTCTGGAAGGGGTTGGACTCTCTCATTTCACTCTCTTTGTGCTGTTCCGTGCTTGTAATAGCACTTTTCTCTCTTATGTATACCTGGTTAAATTCCCCTGGCTCTCAAGATGTAGGCCAGCAGTCTCTCTCTCCAGGCCCGCTCTGGGCTCTCCCTGTAGGTGGTAGGTGACCCTCTGCAGTGCCCTTATCCCTTTCTAGGCATCCTGCCTACTAATCTCTATGTGGACGGGGTGTCTCCACCACTGCATCTTGTATCTTTGTACCCTGAGCATAGTGGCAAAGGCCCAATATATATTTGGGGTTTTTTGGTTTGTGTTTTGAGACAGGGTCTGGCTGTGTTGCCCAGGCTGGAGTGCAGTGGCTTGATCTCAGCTCACTGCAACCTCTGCCCCCTGGGCTCAAGCCATCCTCCTACCTCAGCCTCCCAAGTATCTGGGACTATAGGCATGCACTGCCATACCTGGCTGATTATTTTTGTTTTTTGTAAAGACAGGGTTTCACCATGTTGCCCAGGCTGGTCTCGAACTCCTGTGCTCAAGCGATCCACGCACCTCAGCCTCCCAAAGTGCTGGGATTATAGGCGTGAGCCACTGTACTCCACCCACTAATATATATTTGTTAAATGAATTGATGAGTGGGTCATTCTATTCCTCTCTGGGGGTTCACAATGGGGGTAGACAGGTGTTCAATAAACAATAACCAGAAATTGTTAGAAAATATTGTATTCATCCATCCATTCACCTATACCTACATACATCCATTTAACAAGTAAATGCCAAGTACCTCTTGTATCAGGCATTACACCAAGTGCTGGGATACAGCCTCACCCCTTCCTTGCACCCTCAACTCCAGGCATGCTAACCAACTCCCTTTCAAATCTACCATGCTGCCACCTTTGCACAAGCTGTTGCTTCTTCCTGGCACCATCTCTTCCCTGCCTCCTCCAGCTCATACCACAAACACCTGGTCTACCTGGTAAACTCAGAGTCTTCCTTCAAGACACAGTTAAAATGTTTTCTCATTCCCAAGCCTCACCAGGCAAATAAACAACCAATTGTGTTGGGGCACAAGTGGCTACTTCTCTCTCCACCCTGGGTGCCCTGGAGGCAGGACCAGTACCAACCTAAGTTGAGCAAATTACCCCAAAAAGCAGACGCAGAATTGCACCAGGGCACACAGCATGGAGAGGGAGCATGAGCCAGGTTTAACTCTTTATTCACTGCCTCAGCCAGGTGTCATCATGCAGGGCCCCTGGGAGAAGCTGTCCACCAGGGTCAGAGGATGAGCCTGAGCTGGCAGAGGCTGTGAGGTGGGTGCAGACCTCTCTGGGAGGTAGACTGAGGTCCAGGGCCACCTTTCTGGATCCCCAGCCTGTGTGTAGAGTCTGTGCTCAGAAGGGCCCCATGCTTGGTTTAATGCTTTTCTGCTGCTGTCTTGGAATTTACAATCACTTTTAAACAAGGGGCCTAGTATTCTCATTTTGCATTGGGCACTCACTGCAAGTTACGTGGCTGGTCCTGCTCAGGTCAGTGGGGTTTCCCCACTAAAAACAGTACCTGGAGTTACTGGGCCAAAGAATGATCTTCCTCCCTGTCCTAGAGGCGCAGGACTTCATTCACAACTTCAAACCCTGCCCTTGGCTTTGTTAATCTCCTAGGAGCCGGTCAACAGGGCCCCAGGTGTTTTGATCCCTCTGAGCTCCTGTAAGCCAGCGGCATAGAGTGTGCTAAGAATGCATTTTACATTTTTAAATGGTTGAAAAAATCAGAAGATGTCGCGACACATAAAAATCATATGAAATTGAAATTTCAGTGTTCATAAATAAAGATTAATTGGAACACAGCCACGCTCATTCATTTATATATTGTCTGTGGCTGCTTTTATGCCACATCGGCAGTCGAGTAGTTGCAACAGAGGCTGTATGAAGATATTCATTCAACAAAGCTGAAGATATTTACTATCTGGCTTTCTACAGAAAATGTTTGCTGATCCCTGGTTTAAGCCATGCCTCTGTCACCTGCAGCCTAGGAATCAGAAACCAGGGGGATGTCAGTCACTGACACTTAGGTGTTGGGTTTCTTTTTTGCCTTAGCTCAGTGGTTGTCAACTAGGGGGCCATTTGGCAAGGTCTGGCGGCATTTGTAGTTATCACAGTGGGAGTGTGTGTGGGGTAGAAGGTGTGTTGTTGGCATCTAGTGGGTAGAGGTGAGGACGCTGCTAAGCATCCTACAGTGCACAGGTCAGCCCCCACCACCTAAGAATTTCCCGGCCCGAAGGAGCCC
This sequence comes from Homo sapiens, assembly GCF_000001405.40. Lineage (NCBI taxonomy): Eukaryota > Metazoa > Chordata > Mammalia > Primates > Hominidae > Homo > Homo sapiens. The sequence continues at coordinate 205,033,194 of NC_000001.11, read as the reverse complement.
CGTGCTAAAGCTTAGGGCAGGGCCAGGCCAGACTCCCAGTGGGTCTTATGGGCTGGGGAACTAGCCAGAACTTCACTGCTTTGGAATCAATGGAGCATTCCAAAGGCTGTATGTACCGAGGGAGGGGGCCCTGGAAAGGACCAAGCATGAGTCTTCTCCCTTCCTTGGCAGCCTGTGGCTCCTATACCTGCTAGGGGCCCTGGGCAGGCCTCAAATGGAAAACAGCCACTTTCCCTGCATTTCCCTAAGGAAGAGGATAGGTGCCCATCTGCTTGGCCAGGTGAGCTTGACCCCGGGAGGGGAGATGGCTATCGAGGCTGCCAACCGTGGTCATAGGAAGAGGTGCCAGGGGCCAGGGATGCAGAGAGGGAACTGGAGGTGCCCCCAGGGGACCAGGTGAGCAGGGTGTCCAACTCAGGCAGAAGGAACGTGAGGCTGGGAGAGCCTTGGGGAAAAGCTGGCACGGCTCCCACCCAACCTTCTGGAGAGTGAGAAGAACAGATGCTGTGGCTGTCAGATGAGATGCTCCTGGCACTTTGGGAAATGGCAGAATTAACAAAAGGACGGTTGCTTTCAGGGAACACAAGCAGGGGCGCAGTGTGTACAGCTGGGCTGGCCTCTGAGGACTCCTTTTCCTTGAAGGGCAAGGAGCAGAGGTCCTCTTGCCTGGCTTCTGGACTGGTTGTAGATTGGGGTGGTGGGGAGGGAGGATGGAGGCTGAGTCGTTGGACCTGGGGACAGAATGGGGTCAAGTTAGAGCCAGAGCCAGGGCCAAGGCTGTACATAGCTTGGAGTCTTGTAAATGGCAAGGCTGTCTGGAGGTCATCTCATCTATCCCTCTGCCTCTGGGTCCAGCCTCAGCAGATGGCATCTTGCCGGTGGAGGACCCAAGCAGAGGGGCCCTCAGCAGGAATGAGAATTCATCAGCTGTTACTTGCAAAGCCCCCAGAAGAAGCAGCCAGTTCTCTTTGGAAGCTGCATGGACAAAGAGGCACATGCCAGAGGGTCTGCAGGGAGCCTGCCTCTTCTCCTAGCGGAGAGTGGGCAATGGGAGTGATGGAGGCCGGGCACGGTGGCTCACGCCTGTAATCCCAGCACTTTGGGAGGCTGAGGCGGGAAGATCATGAGGTCAGGAGATCAAGACCATCCTGGCTCACACGGTGAAACCCTGTCTGTAGTAAATAATACAAAAAATTAGCTGGTGTGGTGGCGGGCGCCTGTAGTCCCAGCTACTCGGGACGCTGAGGCAGAAGAATGGCATGAACCCGGGAGGCGGAGCTTGCAGTGAGCTGAGATCGTGCCACTGCACCCCAGCCTGGGTGACAGAGTAAGACTCCGTCTCAGAAAAAAAAAAGAGTGATGGGAGCGGGTGTGGCCTCATCCTGGATGCTTACCTGACCTGGCGGAGAGGCGGGACGTTGTGATTAGCATTGTTTGGCTAGAGAAACTCAGGAAGATTTGGCATAGACTAGGCTAGCTGGGTCCCACTCAGAGGCAGGAGGATTAGACTCCATGCTCCTAAAATCCATTAAAAGAATAGGAAAAGAGAAGGAGGGTACGCGATTGCCCAAGTGTGGATGGTTTTAATTGCAATGCAGAGCTCATACAGACCCAAAGAAAACTCTTTCTAATGCTGAGGTGTGGGATGACAGATAAGAGGCCGGGGGTTGTGGCATTTTTCCCAGGACCTGCCTGCCTGGTCTGGTGGCCGCGGGCTGGCTAAAGTTCCCCTGGCCAGGGAGGTTGGGGTCACAGCTTTGTCCTTTCTGGCAGACCCATGGCTTCCTTGCTCCTGGAGCTGCAGCAGCTGAAGTATAGGGTGGGAGATGGGGCGGGGGAGCCAGGACTACCCTGCCCTCTGGAGGCCCTGGACATTAGCCCAGAGAGCCTTCAGCTGAGGAGGCTGCCTGCCCATCTGTGAAGTGCACTGGCCATGGGTTAAGCCCATAACTGGAGGGGTGAGCAAGGCCAGAGGGCAAGGGACAGCAGACGGCTCGGAGGGGTCACGGCCTCATTTGCTGGAGTGTCATCCCTCTCCCTGTCACAGGTCTCTATGGGGCCAGCTGACAGATGCGCCCTGGAGGAGGGCGGGGGGCCTCCTCCCCATGGCCGGCCTCCCCTCTCTCCTTCCCCCTTTCCTGCTGGCTTTCCCCGAAGCCACTGCATTGTTAGCTGCAGGCCTCCGGGGACAGACTTCAGATGGAGGGGAGCGGGTGTGTGTTTTGTTTTGTAGGAGGGAGTCTCTGAACCAAGAACCTATTTGGCTAATGAAGTCGTAATTACTCCCCGGCTCACTAATAGGATGAAAGCTGGGGACTCACTTAAAAGCCACTGATGGACCTGCGAGAGTGGTCTGAGGGCTCTGAGGAGGGGCTGGGGAATGGTAAATGGAAGGAGGTGCATGTCGGGGTTAGGGAGAGGGAAGAAAGGGGGTGTAGAGGCCCTGGTCTGGAGTCTGCTTCTGGGAACCAAAGTCACACCTACAAATTCTTCAGCTTAGCATGGGATGAGCTGCCTGAGATTTACCATCTTGCCTGTGCCTGCCTTCAACTTTCCCAAACTGGCCACAGCCCTAGCTGCCAGCTTTCATAGGAGGATCGTGGGCTGTGGAGGGTCTGGGGCAGCCGAAAATCCCAGATGATTGCTATTTGGCTTTGGAATGAGTCTATTTCTAAGTTTGTGTATTTTTTCCTCCCGGAAAAGCCCTCAGCTCTTTCAGATGAGGTCTGGTGGCCGTCATTTGAAATGTGAGTCTGCTTTCTCTGAGGACGCATTAGCTCATGTGGAAGGTGGGGGGGTACATTTGCTGTGCGGTATGGGAGCCAGTTTTGGATTTAGCACTTGGTGTGTGGAATCTGTAAGACAAGGGGACTGGACCTGGGCTTACTCCAGCCCTGACATTCCATGGGTCTGAACCACAGGCACATAATTGAGAGGGGACTAGGGGGTCTCCTGGGGTCCTGGGTGGGCCCTGTGCACGTTCCCCGCAGTCAGCCAGCGGCCTCACCCATGCCAGCCACACCAGGGCACGCCCTGCAGAAAACTTGGGAAGGAGGTTGATGCAGTAATTTGGAAGGAAAGATTTTCTGTGTGTTTTTTGCTTTTCACGGAGATTGTTGCTGGGACTCGGTAGGGAGAAGGATGGAAGACGTGAGCTCCTCTGGGTCTTAGGGCTGACTGCATTGATGTCGGTCTTCGCCAGACCATCTTTCCCTGAGGAGGGGTGTTGTCAGTGTTGAGAAGGAAGGAACCCCGAATGCCTATGGCCCGGAAGAAGCTCTAAGCTTGGGAGTCAGGCTCCTATATCTTGGTGTAAAATGACCCCAGAGAGGTAACCGCATCCACATCCATGGGGACCCAGTGCTGTGGGGCTTGTGAAAAGGACATTGGCTGAGTCCTGTCCTGGGGTCATTCTTGGGGCAAACCCAGGCCTTTGGACATCCAGCCTTATCCTCTTCTGCCACACGGGTTGTTGGGTGAGTTGAGGGTCATAGTGTGTCCTAACAGCCAGGCTGGAGCTAGAAGGAGCAGGAGGGAGGGAAGTGAAGGATGGACTGTCCTTTCTGATGAATGACGGTGGGTTGCTGGCCTTTAACGGGAGGCAAGAGCACTTAGGGGACTTGGGGAAAGTTAATTAATGGGGCTGTAGAGTGAACCCCAGCTCTCAACACTCATCACTGGCCCTTACATCCAGCCACTTGGAACCTGGTAAACTTGCTTTTAGGAAGAGAAATATTGCCTGCCCCCTCCTCATCCCTAACCCCTATACACCATGGACTAAACCACTAGCCGGCCAATAAATACAGTAACGCAGACAGCTTGAATACAAATGGGATCTGGTTACCCTGCAGGGACTGCGGGTCCCAAGGATCAGTCAACATGTATTTATGGACCCCCACACACTATGTGTGGGGCACAGGACTGGGGGCCACAAAGGTACAAGAGGCATAAAGTACTGGCCCTGCCCTCCGCAGGTTTGCAGCCTGGCCAGATACAGGAGAAAGTCTCTGCAATGTCAGACAAGTCCCTGCTGGAGGAGCAAGAAGGTTGAGAAAAGCTCTCGAGAGAGCTAGCCCCGTGGGCCAAGGGGATTATGAGAAATGGATTTGAGCCTGCTTTGAAGGATTGGGAGGGTTTTTGAAGGAGGGTGTCGAGTCTGGAAGAACATTTGGGTAGACAGCAGAGGGGAAAGTGTAAAGTGATTCATTCATTTATTTAAATGTAATACATTATTATATAGTGCTTCCTATGCCTCAGACACTTTTCACATTTCAATTGATTTGATCCTTACAACAACCTACAAAGTAGCTACAATGACAACCCTTATTTTGTAGATGAGGAAACTCAGGCAAAGAGAGGTTCAGTCAGTTGCCTGAGGTCACACAGCTAGTGCCTGACCTGTCTGCAGAGTCCTGGCTCTTACTTGGTACTTAGGGCACATTTGCAGAAAGCTGAGCACCTGTAATTTGCTGCCCCCTCATCATGTGACCACGAGCTGCATGGCACCCACAACCTTCTCCTGGGGTTTCCTGGGGCATTCAGGAGCCTGCACGTCCTGCTACCCAGAGCGGAGGAGGGGGGCGAACGGTTGCGGGGACATGTTGGAGAGTTGGCAGGGGCTGCTCTGGCATGATGCCTTTGAGGCACAGGCACCAGGGCTGATTCTTCACAGGGAGGCCCATTCATACCCCAATCACAGTAGTGAAAGTGGAGGTTTTTTAGTCAGACCAAACTGGCAGCTAGTTCTGGCTTTGTCATTTACCTTGGGCAAATTATTCTGCTATTTGGGCCGGGTGCAGTGGCTCACGCCTGTAATCCCAGCACTTTGGGAGGCTGAGACGGGCAGATCACCTGAGGTCAGGAGTTCGAGACCAGCCTGGACAACATGGTGAAACCCCGTCTCTACTAAAAATACAAAAATTAGCTGGGCATGGTGGTGGGCACCTGTAATCCCAGCTACTTGGGAGGCTGAGGCAGGAGAATCGCTGGAAACAGCAAGGCGGAGGTTGGAGTGAGCTGAGATCATGCCACTGAACTCCAGCCTGGGTGACAGAGTGAGACTCTGTCTCAAAAAAAAAAATTATTCTGCTATTTGGAGTCACAATTTCCTCATGCAAAACAGGATGTAAAGCTACCTACGTCAAAGGGCTGGTGTGCAGGCTAAAAGAGAGCATTGGCATGAAATGCACATCACTGTGCCTCATGCAGTTGGTTTCAACAATATTCGTTCCCCTTCTCCTCTTAAGTCACTTACATGTAAATGTGTTGTGACCCAAATACCATCTGGTGCCTTCTTGCCTCTTTGACAGTAATGTATAAACAGCTCAGTCCCCTGCCAATTCCATGGACTGTGAAAGTCCAAGCCCCCCTCACCATTTTTGCTAATTCCTGGGGGTTCATGCTCTGACCCCTCTATTCTTCTGCAGTCTCTGTGCCCTGCATCAATTTGGATGTAAAGTCCAGCAACTTTGCTAGTTTGCATAAAACATCCATTCACAAGAAGCAAATTCACAAATGTAGTAGGCTTGATTGCCAATTCGGGGGACGTGAAGAAGGGTCACATCCAGGCATACACAGGTTTTTCAGTGTGTCCCTCTCATCTAGGGGCCTCAAACATGATGCCTGCATCAGCATCACCTGGAGGGTTTGTGAGAACACAAATCCCAGAGTTTCTGATACAGTAGATATAGGGTGAGGCCCAAGAATGTGTTTTTTAGTAGAGAAGGGGTTTGTTTCACCATGTTGGCCAAGCTGGTGTTGAATTCCTGGCCTCAAGTGATCCACCTGCCTCAGCCTCCCAAAGTGCTAGGATTACAGGCGTGAGCCACTGTGCCCAGCCAAGAATGTGAATTGCTACAAGTTCCCAGGTGGTTCTGATACTGCTAACAAGTTCCCAGGTGGTTCTGATACTGCCGGTCTAGGGACCACCCTTTGAGAACCACTCCTCTAATCTCCTTTCTGCTGTTTCTTGCTCCTCAGTTGCTGCCCCCTGGATTGCCCTGTAGGTCCAAAATCTCCCCCTCTCTATTATACAAAGCTCTCCCCAGATGCTATCTGCAACCTCTGTACCCAGATCAAGCCTGGACCCTTGGTTTACTAGGATTCAGCCTTTTGAGAAGGTATTTGGGGTTTTAAGCACAGGAGATGTCCTTGTGTGTGTTTGTTTCAGTGTGGAAGAATCCCGTCCTCTAGCTTCTCACTCTCTGCAGTTGTCTCTGCGCGAAGCTGAGCAGTCAGAACTCCTGTTTGGGTTCAGTGTGGGTGAGGTGAGTTTCCAGTGAGCCCCGGCCAGGGCTGAGGGTCTGTGTGCAGACCTTATCAGACTCAACCGAGTCCCAGGTCTACACAAAGCCATGCTTCTTGCTGGTGGTGGTTGGGGGGGTGGTTGGGGTGTGTGTGTGGCTGGGGCTAATCAGCAGCAAATTCTGGGGTGGGAGTAGGAGTGAGGGTTGGGGGCTGGGGGCTGGGGCTGGGGGCTGGGGGCTGGGCTGTCGGGCCACAGCTGTGGCTCTAAATTGCTCTGAGGCCCACTGCCTGGTCGGTGCTCCAGCAGGAACTGACATCAAACAAATGGGCTCTGATGCGTTAAGTGGGGAGGGGGATGCTGAAATGGGTCCCCCTCCCCCGCCTTTCTCCACCTAAAATAATGTTGGACAGGAGAGGCCTCCTTGATGAGAAAGGCTGTAATGAATTCCCAGATTCCAGCCCTTTGTGGGCAGCTGGGCAAGAGGGGGCAGAGCCTTCACTCTTAATAAAGATGGGAAGATGGCTTGTGCCCTCCCCACTGGGCCTGTTAATCCCACTCCAAGCTGGAGATTAGCATTTCTAATGGGCTGGGAGGTGCAGCCTTCAGGAGACTGAGGGATGACAGATATTCTGGTGGGTCCCTGGGGCTCTGAAGACAGGCAAGCGCTTTGTCTGGCCTCAGTTGCATTGATGTTGGCTTTCTTCAAACAACGTGCTCGCCTCATCTCTCCACTTCTGTTCCGTTGAGTGGAGGCGCCTATTCTAGAAACCGAGCCGGTGGGTTGCCCCCAAATGTCATATCCAAGAATCCAATATCCAAAGAGGATGATATGCAAAGCTCAAATTCACCTGACCACTATTTTTCAAAGGAATGTTGTCTCATTCATTTACTCATATTAATTCATTTTGTCCCTCACTTGGCACTTGCTATGTGCCAAGCACTTAATTGTGGATGCAGGTGAAAAACTGGTCTTTTGTAGTCAGGATGTTCATTCACAGTTTAGTGAAAGAAAGACAATGAGGCTGGGTGCAGTGACTCACATCTGTAATCTCAGTGCTTTGGGAGGCTGAGGTGGCAGGATCGCTTGAGGCCAGATATTCAAGACCAGCCTGGGCAACATAGTGATACCCCATCTCTATAGAAAATAAAATAAATTATCTGGGCATAAGTGGCAGTGCCTGTAGTTCCAGCTACGTGGGAGGCTGAGATGGAAGGATTGCTTGAGCTGAGGAGTTTGAGGCTGCAGAGAGCTATAATAGCACCACTGCACTCCAGCCCTGGGTGACAGACTGAGACCTTATCTCTTAAAAAAAAAAGAAAAAGACAACGAATGTTGTATCCCAGACTCCATTAGACATAAAATAGGTGCTCTATGGGCACAGTGAAGGGGTCTAAACCAGACTGCAAATGTGTGTGTGCGTGCGCCTGTGTGTGTGCATGTGCATGTGTGCACGTGTGTGCATGTGTGTGCATTCAGCATGTGTGTATGCGCGTGTTTGCGCATGTGTGCATGTGCATGTGTGTGTATGTGTGCGTGTGTGTGCGTGCGCGCGCGCGTGTGTGTGTGTGTGTGTGTGTGCAGGGCTGTTAGGGCAGACAGTGTTCCCTGAGCTGCCTTCAAGGAGTCTCGGAGGAATGGCCTATAAGGAGAAAAGGGGCTAGAGGGGCTTGGAATGGGAAACAAGAAGGAGAAGAAGAGGAGGAACGCAGAAGGATTAGGGGGTGGTGTGGAAGGTCAAGAGAAGAGTGTGTCAGACAGACCCACCTTTGGGCCATAATTTATCCATTGAGCCCATATTTATTGAGCCCTTTGCCCAAGACACTCTAATGTCGCTTTTGTTTACTTGACTTTCTCTCATGACAGTCTGGGCTTTCTACTTATCTTATGCTGTTAATTGGCACAGAGTAGGTTGTTAATACATACTTTTGAATTGAATTGAAAACCCTGGGAAGTGTGAGAATTTTGTTGCTGTCAGGGAAAGCTGGAAATAGTTGGAATGGCTAGAGTTTGGGGTACTTGTGGGAAGCGGTGAAAAATGAGGATGGAGAGGTGAGGGTTGGATCACTAAAGGTCTAACATGACAAACCATGGAGTTTAGATTTTATCTAATGTAGGGAATGAAGGTTTCAAGTAAAGGAATGACATGATCAGATTTGTATTTTAGAAGCTCCCTCTGGCTACAGTTTCATGAGGGAGTAGGCAACACAGGAGGCAGGAACACTCAATTCAGGCCACGAGGGCTTGGACTAAGGGTGAGACAGTGCATATGGATGTGAGGGACAAATTTCAAAGACAGCATGTGAACTTGAGAATGATGAGAAAGAATCTTCCTGCCAGGCGCGGTGGTTCAGGCCTGTAATCCCAGCACTTTAGCAGGCTGAGGCAGGGTGGATCGCTTGAGCCCACGAGTTCGAGACCAGCCTAGGCAACATAGTGAGACCCTGTCTCTAGAAAAAATACCAAAAAAATTAGCTGGGCACGGTGGTGGGCACCTGTAATCCCAGCTACTTGGGAGGCTGAGGTGGGAGGATAGCTTGAGCCTGGGAGGTCGAGGCTGCAGTGAGCCGTGATTGCACCACTGCACTCCAGCCTGGGTGACAGAGCAAGACCCTATTTCAAAACAAACAAACAAACAAACAAACAAACAAACGAAACCCCTCAGAAACAAAAGAGAGAGAGAGAGAGAAAGGATCGTTCTCATATTTCAAGGAGTAAATAGGGAGGTTCAGAGGTGTGTGACTTCCCCAAGTTACCCAACATTTCAGGAGGAGCCAGGCCTGGAAATAAGGCCCCATTTTAGCCTAATGAAGCTATAATCCCTCAAGTCCATGATCTGTTCTGGGGACATTTTTTTTTCTTTTTTGCACCCACCCTGTCTGTTCTGAGGACTTTGAAGGGAGAGTAAGACAGGTGGGTTGGACAGTTACTCGGTGGTTCTTTGTCCAAGAGACTTGGTCTGCATTTTCAGGGGAATTCATTTGCCCTCATTCCCCATTATAGCCTATGCCTAGAAACTATCCGTTAACTTTCTACAAGAGCAGAACCACCTCTCAGTGCTCACTCCAACCCCCACACCACCCCGAGGAAAGGGAGGGGGGTTACAGTGTCTGGGGGTCCCTCATGTCTTATCCTGCCTGGTTGAGGCTCTTTGGCCACTCCTCAGTGAGAACCAGCACAGCTACAGACATGTTGTGGCAGTATCCAGGGGACATGGTGAAAGCTGCGAGCACTGCCTCTCAACAATCAACATGGCCCCCTCTGTCTCTTTTCCCTTCCTTTTTTTTTTTTTTTTTTTTTGAGACGGAGTCTTGCTCTGTGGCCCAGGCTGGAGTGTAGTGTCACGATCTCGGCTCACTGCAACCTCTGCCTCTCGGGTTCAAGTGATTCTCCTGCCTCAGCCTCCAGAGTAGCTGGGACTACAGGCATGCGCCACATCACCCAGCTAATTTTTTTTTTTTTTTTTTTTGTATTTTTAGTAGAGACGGGGTTTCACCATGTTGGTCAGGCTGGTCTCGAACTTCTGAGCTTAAATGATCCACCCACCTCGGCCTCCCAAATTGTTGGGATTACAAGCGTGAGCCACCGTGCCTGGCCCCTATTTGGTTGTTGATCAAGATTCCTTTGAGTCTACTGAGAGGGGTTTTTGGTTTGTAGTAAGCAGTTTTATTTATTCTTTCAACAATATGAAATGTCTACCTTGTGCCAGGCACAATGCTGGGCATACGCTGATGTTTGACCTAAGGGCAAGCGGTGCAGAAAGAGGAGGGGGCTAGGAGACGGAGCACCATGGCAAATTTCTCCCATTCTCCCGACTTCCCTAGCATGGCACTTTTTCAATGGTGGATGTGCACACGCATCACGTTGAATCAGAGGGTGTCTCCACGACTGTACACATTACACATTCCTATACCAGTCACACTATGTTTAAAACACAAATTGTGCAAGTGAGTCTTCGAGAATAACAACTTCTAGAGGGGGGATGGTATGGTAGAATTCTGGAAGAGTGTGCTGTCTGGCACCCATGAAAAACCCTTTGATCCACTTTTGCCATCAGCTCTTTGACACCCCTCTCCTACCTACCAACAGGAACAAATCAAGAAAATGAGCAAATCACATGGCAAGAGTCCATTTTGAACAACTTTTATTATACGTTTAGTGTTCTCTATACAAAAGAAATCAGTTTTTTTACAGTGATTCAAAAAAAATTCAGAATAATTTGGCCTTTTCATTGCTCATGCAGTCAGTTTATAAGTCCATGTATTAGACGGCCCTCCATGGCCCAGAAGTCTTCCCTGCTGAAGGTCGTGTGTGACACCCTCAGATACGCATCTGTCACTGACAAAGTTGGTTAATGCAAAATAACTCGCAAAAAAGGAAAGAACATGATGTGAGAGGGGTTAAAACAAGGTCTGGCATGGAGTTAAATGTTTAACCAATGGAAAAAAGATCAGACCAATTTGTGTGTGTGTGGATATGTAGGAAGGGATGGAGACGCTGGGAAAAAAAATTCCCCACGGGAAAGAACAAATTGGAATGGTGGGGGATATGGGTGTGTGGTGGGGGCGGGGCAGGAGGTCCTCCGGGGTCCAGCATGGGTCGGGAGTGGGAGCAGGACAGAAGGTGGCCACGTCACAGGCGACTGATGCTCAGCTCAAGGGGAGTGTGAAGAGGTTGGCAAAGAGCTGGGGAGCCGGGCAGAGGGACAACACTGACTGAGGACATTGCAGTTGGGAATCAGAAAAAAAGGGGCAGCTCAGGGGCATCTGATCTGCCTCATTTTTGAAAAAGAAACAGAGTAATGTACAAAATTCTGGATATCTTCTCCCAGAGTTTTGTGTTTATTGCTTCACTGAAGTCTTTACATCTGTTGAACTCCAGCCCAGCAAATCCCAGGGTGGCAGCTTGCATGGGCCCTGCTGCCTCTCTGCACCCTGTGGCCATGGGCAGAATGGACCGAGATGCCCTCACTTCTGAGGAATACAGCACACTGAAGGCCCGATGTGTTACAAAGCAAGAGACACCATTCTACGGGGTACGGTCTAGGGTTCACAGTAACAAACACCAATCAGCTATCCTATTCCACTGGCCCAGATCTGCCCTTAATTGCATGACTGGGTGAACCACACACAGGCTGATCACAGACAGACTGATCTTGGTCTCAGAAACAATCCTGTTTGTCTTTCATTTTGGGAGGCATGTGGGGGATGTGGGAGACGCAGTAAAGAGGTATGAGAGGGTGAACCAGAAGGACAGATCTTAATACCTCTGTTTCAAAGGAGGCAGCTGTGGTGAGATGAAAGAACACTGACTGGACAAGGAGTCAGAAGGCCCAAGTTCAAGCCCTAACCTTACCTTAGTTTACCAGCTATGTGATCTTGAGCAAAAATCCCTTCACTTCTGTGGATTTGCATATCCTTGTCTGTACGATAGATCATTTCAATGAGATCAGCTCTGGGATTCCTTCACATGCCGAAATCCGATTCTGTCCTAAGCTAGATGCCTTGTACCTATTTCCATTCTCCTCATTATGGAACACCCATTTAATACTAGTGTGCTGATAGGAGGAACAGCAGCTTCAGGTGAGGCCTGAGACACTGTTTGGTGGACGCTTGTGGCTCTCCTGGATGGTTCTCCTTTCTCTCTGATCCTTCTCTGAATGTGTCTCAGGAAGGCCCATTATTAGTAAGGAAGGGAAAGAAAGGACACTTCCCTGGGCTTGGGCTGTGCAGGCTGGGGACAGCCACAAAGTCTGGCTTGGACTCACATGGGGTAGCCCCTGTCTAGGTTAAGGAATGCTAGGAGATGGTCAAGGGAGGGCACTGGTCTGACTCTGCCCGGCTTGCCTATGCCTCCCAGGGCCTTGGTCTCCTCTTGACATATCAAGCTCTTTGTTTCATTGTTTTGAGGCCTCTCTATTTTTCCTTTTTAAAATCAGGGCCCTCCTCCATGCTACTCCTTGGCCACCACGCAGAGCTCAAGCAGGATCCTTTGCCAACTAACGGTGTAGATGCAACCGCAACCATGGGCTTTTGTGTGTTTGGCTGGGGCTGGCCGGAGTGGTGACTGGGCAGGAGGTCACTCTGCACCAAGGTGTCATGAGTGGGGAGCGGTGCCTTGTGCCGGCCTCCCAGGAACCTGCTGGCCACTGAGAAGGGATTCTCTGGCACTAGCCCCAGCCGACGGAAAGCCCGAGAGGCTTCCTCTCCTCAGAGAGTTAGCAAAGCAGCCTCACAAAGACAGACAAAAATGTGCTATGTCCCTGCTCCCTCCATCAAATGGGCTGTTTGTGATGCCCTAAGACTTGGCCCTGCTCCAGCACAGGGCGCCAGAAAGAGCCCGCTGCCCGTGCCATTGCTTGGGCAAAGTTTCCCACTCCTTCAGCTCAGATGCTCTCTCTAGGTGCTGCCAACAGGAATTACCTAAACAGGGCCCAACCCTGGTGGCCTTTCCCACTCCTCTAAGGTGCGTTCCTCATCCACACAGAGCCCTTTGCATCTTATCTCACGCAACTTGGATGTGGACTAACCCTCTCCAAGACAATGTTGGAATCTGGATCGCTATCCCTTGGAAGCACTGCTTGGCAACAGGGTTGTGGTCTGCTGTATGTATGTGAGCATGCGTGGGCACTGGGTGTGGCAGGGGAGCTTGTCCGTTAGCTGGGAAACCCACACATCCTCGGGTTTCCACCGTCTTCCCAAGGCTGTGGTCAGGGAAACTATGAATGCGCTATGTGGGCTCAGTTGCACCTTGCAGGGCAAGCAATGTTGGCACTGGCTGATTTTCAGACCTGTGGTCACCTCTCCCGACTTCAGGGCTTGCCAGGGGCAGGGGCAATGGGGTGGACCAGATGTCTCCAACCTCTCAGAGCACAAAGGAGGGTGCTGGTTTGGCTTTCCTGTTAGCTTAAATTCAACCATCTCCTCAAAAGCAAGGCAGGAAAAGATGAGTCCCATTCACCATCACCCAGGCAAGGTGGGAGGCAGCTGTCCCCTGACCGATGGCAGTGTACTTCCCGAACCCTGGCCTCGACAATCCTTCAGGGGAGCCCGTGCCTCTCTGTAGAAAGAGGTATTCAAGGAGGAACTGAATGGGAGACAGAGGCATAAAAATACAGACAGGTTAAGGAGCTTGCCCCAAGAGGCAGAGCAAAGAGGCTCAGGAAGCAGGACTGTTTCTCAAGCCACACCGTGGTTCTTGACTGCTCTGTCCCGCCCAGCCTTGGTGACCAGATGGACCAAGCTCTCCCTCAGAATCCCTCTCTTCAAGCTCGCAGCCATCAGTGGCTTAAGCGGTAGAGGGAAGAATGCTCCCAGCTCAATGGCCACTGTGTCCTAGCACTTGATTTTAGGACTGTCAGCCCCATGAGGGCAGGGACCACATCTAACTCACGCGCCATGGTATCCACAGCTCAGGCCTTAGTTCAGACTGGATTTCAGATTATTTGCTGAATGAATGAATGAATGAATGAATGGACAAATGAGAGCACAGGAAACCACAGCTCTTAGGGCTGAGCATATAGGTGGGATTGCAGCCTAGTCAAAGGAACTTCTAGAGTTACTGTAAGATGCCCAGCACTTTCCTCCCAGCCAGACAGACTGGAGCGCCGATGGCATGGTGCTGTCCTGGCTTCACTGTTGGTATGTCTTGGGGTAGTTGCTTGGGAGACCCAGCTGGCAGGCAGTACTGGGCAATTCCACTTTCCTGCTGAGCTGGAGTGGACTCTGACATGGGCTCCATGGAAAATGCACCCTCCTCTTCCCCAAAGGGGCTGCCTCCTGAATCCTGCAATCCCCACGCCTCAGCGTTTGATCTCTCTGACCACCTGCCTTCCTTGCTTGGGGAAAACTTAATTCTTCAGCCTCAGATTTGCTTCTGCTCAGAGGGGTGTGATGGCGTGGTGATGGGGGGCAGCTCTCAGCACCCACAGAACAGCAGCCTGAGAGAGGGCTAACAGCATTTTCTTCATACACAAAGGACAGTACAGAGCCTGGCAGGACACTGGAACGAGGTGCAGAGGCAGGCTGCGGGCTTACTTCTCCCCAAGACCCTTACGAGAGAAGCAGCCCTTCCCAGTCACCAGGTGGTGTGGCAGACTTGCTCATCGTCCCTTCCTGCCCTAAGGGCCTGCTTTCGGTGCAATGGGTACGCTGGCATGTACGGTGCAGTATGGAATGAGTGTCTGAGAAACTGACTACTCTGCTCAGATCCAAAGCGTTTTCTGGAAAGGCCAGTCCTTTAATTCAGCTCACAGGCACACTTCCCTGACATTCCCTTCAGGGACAGTGGGCCTAGTATCCAAGCAGGTGTTGGAGGAAATCCAGGGGAGGGGCCCTCCAAGCTCACACCCCACCCCCTGCTGTTTACCCTGTCCCCTTGCACTGTGATAAGCTGCCCCTCAGGCGTCCAGGCAGCAGCCCTAGCTGAGGCTTGGCCCAAATGACCATTACACACTCTCAGGTTCAAACAACCTTATTGGCTCAGTTCTGGGCTATGGTTTCTTACCAGCAGAGAGTGTGTGTCTATGGGCTTGACCTTCAACTGAATGATTATTAATGATGCAAGCATTGCTAATACCTTTGCGGCTTAAACATGTGGCAAATGTTGCTTTAATAAAGTCACGGAAGGACAGAGCCCTGGTCTGGCCCAGGCCCCCTGGCTGGCAGCCGGAGAGGCTCAAATCGGAGGCTGTGCCCATGGCAGCTGATCCATTCCTGGGGATCAGCTTCACCCTCCTGAAACTGACCTCAGCTGCAGAAACAGCTAAAGGGTTCCTCTTAGACTCAAGATCTCCCCCTCTCCTTCTCTGTCTCTGAGGCTAGGTACCTTTGGTTTCAAAAATGCATTAGGTGGGGAGGATGAAGGCAGCACCTTCGGTCTGAGAACTGCAGGTCTGCGAGTGTCTCCATTTGGGGTGACTGGTGAGGACGTGTGTTGAGTGGCCACTTCTGGTCCTGCCGGAACACTTGCATAGGCTGCCCTGCTCTCCTGGAGATAGACGTTGCTGGAGGCTTCAAGGCTTGCAGGGGGGGAGCTGGGAACCTGGGAACTCCAGGGACAGATCAGCGCTGCATAAGGCATACAAAGAGCATTGAGTCCTCCCTAGGTGGGGGCATCACAACACTGAGTACGGTGCCACCTCAGGGTCCCCTGATATGTATACACCCCAATGAAAGGGCAGACCTGCTCAGTCTTGGGGCAAGTCCCCATCCACACACCATGTCAAACAAGAGCCTCAGTGTCCTACAGAATTGGCTGAGAAGATGATATCTGCTAGAGATGGAAGGGGAGCAGTGCCTTATGCCCCAAACACACCAGCAAAGCTTTTGCATCACAGGGTTCCATCTCCTCGAGGGTGGCAGCATGGGCCCTGGCCACGTGGACAGGTGCCCTCTACTCTGGACAGGGTGGGTGTGGCCCTCTATCTACATCCTGGGTTTCACCAGTGAGGAGGCATGAAGTCCAAACCCAGCCTTTTTCTTCTCTCTAGAAGTGAGCACAGTGCCCCCAAGACCAGACACCTGATTTTCTTCTGCTGGAGGTACACAGTCACTGGCGTTGAAGTCCTTTCTATCAGTGCCCACTCCTGTTCCTCAAACGTCTTCAGAGTCAATGCAGCTCACATCTTAGATATTCCAGAGAAAAGGGCAGGGGAGGAATGAGGAGCAAGAGGTAAACACACCTCCCAACCAAACCAGAGAGCAGCAAGGAGGCCTGCGCACCTTCTCCCTGCCAAAAATACTGTCATTTTCCAGAAAGGAGCCAAGCCCAGCTCAGCAACTGACAAGGCCGAGGCAGAGGGGCTGGGGGCCAGGGGAGGCATATGGCGAGAAAGGCATCCTTTGGAAATGCATTGGCCCAGAGGTGGTTTGAATATTACAGCCTGTCTACGTGTTCTGGTATGGATTCAATCCTTTTTGCCTATCTTTGCAAAAAGGATTCTCCTGGGGGAGAATCCACTTATTCTTTCTTTTCCAGGGACTCTTTTTCAAAAGGAAAAGAAAACAGAGACATTGGGTCTGGAGGGGAAGATGCACAAAGCGAAATTAAGACAATGAGAAGTCCCGTAACCAACAGAAAAGGTGAGCGTGTGCCGAGGCCAAGGGCGGACAGTGTGGTGGAACGCTCGGGGTGGCTGCGAGACCGGGCAAGGGGCCAGGCTCCCTCCAGCTGAGCTCAGCCACGGCTCCAGCTCTCCCACACTGGTGGCACCCGGGGCTGAAGGGGGGTCATTGGGAGGGGGCTTGTGGGTGGCTTGGTGGCTACTGGTCCTCACAGCTTGGCAGACCCCCATATCGTACCCTTGTTACTGAAGGTGGTGGTGGCTTCGTGGTAGGTCTGCAGTGGTTTTGTCTCCCCTTCTCCCCTCCTCCCACTTGCAAAGTGGTGGCTGTGCCTGGGTGGGCTCCGTTAGGCCAGAGAGTAGATAGCATTGACAGGTGACGTGGCCTCTGAGCTTTCGTTGCCCTCTGTTTCCTCCTTGTCCTTTTTGACCGTGTACTGGCCGATGAAGGAGCCGTCTTCATTGAACTGACCCTCGCCACCCTCGCCATAGTCCACCAGGCTGTCGTCACTCTCCTGCTGCTTGATGGTGCCGTCCAGAGATGTCTGACTGCCCTGCAGGGGCTTGTTGTCCTCATCACTGGCCAAAGAGAGACAGAGAATCTCAGGTGGGGTGAGATGGGGCAGCTGGCCTCCTGCCAGCACATGCCCTACACAGCTCAGAGAGGATGGGATCCAGGAGACCGCCCAGTCCAGCCCCCGCTTCACCCTCCCCTGTCCAGCCTGCTTTGCAGAAGGGAAATGGAGGCCTAGAGAGGACAAGCACCTTCTCTAAGGTGAGGTTGCAGGTCAGGGCAGGGCAGGGAGTGGAGCCCATGCTTTTGGGCTCCTGTTCTGGGTCTTTTCCATGAGATTGGGTCCCTGTGTGTGGTGGAAGTGGACAGAGGATGGCCACCCCATGGTGAGGCAGAGCCACTGCTTGTGAGACCACATGGAATGGTTCTAGTCCCGAGTGTGTCACTGTGTGGTTTTGTGACCTGGGCCTCAGTCTGTCCATCAAGAGGGGCTGGCCCAGCTTTGATCTCCCAAGACCTGTGACTCTGTAGGGAAACACTCTCGCCTTGACAACAAGCAAGGCTTTTAAAGGAACAAACCTCTCCCTCACCTCTCTGCTTGTCTGTCTTGGTGTCTTTCGCTGAGCTATCTGGTTGATCTATAAAAAGATGTTATTGCTTTGGGCCTAGCAAGCACAGGTGCGCAAGAGTGGTGGTGGTGGGGGGGCACACAGGTAAGCAGGTGATGCCAGCAAACGTGAGAAGACAGCAAGGCTCAGAGGATCATGCCCAGCCCCTTCTGAGGCCCATAGGCCCTGACCCTAAGCTCCCCTTGTGCAGGGAGAGCTGGGAGGCTGCCGAGTAAAGCTGCACGGGCCGCTGGGAACAGCCACCCAGTTGGGATGTCTGCTGTGCTCCTGAGGAGGCGCGGGGCTGCTCTCTGAGCCAGCGTCTGTTCAGGCACCATGTCCCTTCCCTTGGCTGGAAAGGCTCAGAGTGGGGACCAGGTGGTGCTGGCTGCACTTCAGAGGTTAGCCCAGTTCCTGGGCAGGAGGCAGCTCAGGATGAGCAGTGGGAGTCTGGGTCTGAGCAGTGGGAGTCTGGGTCTCAGTGGTGGGACCATAGCGGTGCCAGGCGGTCTGAGCAGACACACACCACACACTGCCTTGCCCCCAGCTCCCCACCCACCCCCAGTCCTTCCTGGACGTGGGGAAGACAACCAGCTGAGTTGCCATTATAGTGGGCAGTGCGTTCTCACTTCTAATAGCAGTGTCGGGCAAAGACAGCTGTCAGGTGAGGGCAGCGAGCCAGAGCCGGGGCTGTGTTAGAAGATTGAAAGCTATTAGCCCACTCCCCACAGTGCTGCCCCACGAATACAGCCTAACTGTATTCGTGGGACAGCCGTGGGTTGGGAGATGGTGTGAGGGAGGCAGCTCTCTGGGGCTGTGCTGAGTTTGTGCAGGAAGCGGAAGTCACTGTTTGCCAACTGGAGGAGGGAAATCGCCAGGCTCCTCACCCCACTTGCAGGTCTTATTCGCATGCACTCCTTTCCAGGGCCCTCTATCCCATGTGCAGGGGCATGAGGACTGTGCTATGGGATTTGTGGGAATTCCTCCTCTGTTTCCAGGCAGCTAAGCTAAGTGCAGCCACTGGGCAGCAACAGCCCAGCCAGTGGAAGGGGCGGGGGAAGAGATCTGTAGCATGCCAGGCTGTTGAGGGGACGGGGGATCTAGGTCTGAAAAGAACAGACCGAACAGACCTCTCCTAAGGGAAGCTTGAAAGAAACTAGAATGACTAGGGGTGGCCCTGGTCTGGCCACCTGTCAGCCTCACTTCTGAGACATCTTCAAGGTCTAGGTGGATGGATATAGGGGAGAAAAACAGAGGGTGCCCCATGGGAAAGGTGGTCGGCCACTTAGCCACAGACTGGAGTGAGAGAACAGCACTCCTCGCCCCTAGGCCTATCCTCTCTAGAAACTTAGTTCTTTCTCTGATGTATTAATTTCAGCCTTTTCCCAGGTTAGGGCTCTTAGACTCATCCAAGGGAGGGCTCTAGGATGGATGCTGCGGACCTTCCAGAGCCAAAGCAGAGGGGTGTGTGCGTGTAGGGGTGCAGGCCCAGGCATGCTCCTGTGCGTGTAGACCCAGGGTCAGTGTCTGCGGGGAGGAGGCAGGGGTTTTTGCCTGACAGCTTTGGTGTCTGGGGCAGGAGAGGTGCATAAGGAAGCAACTCCTCGCAGTACAGGCTGCCCAGCCTTGTATTGGAGGAGGTCCAAGCTCCTCCTCTCTGGCTGCACCAAGAGTCTGGGGGAGGAGAAGCCCTGTGGCTTTTGGAACAAAAAGCCAGGGAAGTCTCAGCCCACAGGGAAGCTGTGTCAGGGAAGCCCTGCCAGGGAAGATGGGAAGGGGGCTCTTGTGCCTGCCCTTTCAGGATGCTTCTGGGAATGTCGGGACTAGGTGGACAGTCATGGCCCATAAGCCTGCAGACAGGCTCCTGTGTGGGCAGTGGCTCCACCACACATTGATCTGATTGTGCTTGCCAGGCTGATGGGCAGAGTGGCAGAGGCCCAGGACAGGAAAAGGAGACTGTAGCAGAGGACAAGGGGACCTGGGCCCAGGCAGTAACTGGGTGGCATGAGGAGGGAGGGCTCTGATCAGACATTCCCTCCCATAGCACTTGGTCTGGGAATGACACTCCACAGCCCACTCTGCATCATCCTTCAGCTCAGAACATACTCGCCATCTCCATGGACCCACAACAATGTTGTTAAGCCCACATACAAAGATGCATCCAGGTAGGACAGGAGCATGGGTATAGAAGTATAGAATAGCAGCACCAGCTGGAAATGCGGGACCTGGCCTTTCCAGCTTTGCCACTAACTCACTGGGTGGGGACCTTGGAAGAGTCTTAGACAATTCGCTTCCTGGTCTGGGCCTCAGTCCTCTCATCTGGGGCATAGGGCACTGGACCAGAAGCCTTTCCAAGGCCCATTCCAGTCTAGAGCCCAAAGATATCGCCAAGTTCAAGGAGAAACGACCTGGAATCACCCCACCTTCATTCCTTGAGGCTTTAAGACATCACAGCCTCCCAGGGTCATTATCTTCAGGGTTAGGAATGGAGTGTGGGCAGAGAATCAGCATGAGAGCTGAGCTCATCTCACGGCAAGAGGGTCCTGGGGCTCATGTTCAGAGTGAAAAGGTGGAAAGACATACATAGCAAGCTTGATACATTTGAGTTGTGCAGTTGAATGAATGAAATGCTGTTCGTCAAACTAATGCACGCATGTGTCGGGCAGTGACTCCTGGGGGAGCAGCCTCGTCTGGCACTCTCAGGATGAGAAGCCTCTGAGTAAACTCAGCAGCATGCACTCTCCACCACAGCGCCACCAGAGAGGCAGAGTCACAGCCCAATGGGCAAGGACAGCTACTCATGGCCTCTCAGCCAAGCGGAGCTACTCTGAGGGGAGGGTGGTGCCTCAGGGACAGGGAGGACAGCCTGCCTGAGAGAGGAGGAGGGAGATCACGCACCTATAGTCAAATGAGCCATCCTCTTCCTTGGGGTCTTCAGGGCCAAGGGGAACATCCTTCTTTTCTCGTACTTGGTCAAAAGGAGAAGCAAAGACACAGACACGACGATTAAGTACATGCCCCTGCTCTCTAGGGCTCCACTGAATGCAGGGCCAGAAGGCACCGCCCTGGGCTCACTGACACTCTTTTTTAACAAGGCACCATCCACGCCTCCCTTGTTTTTGCTTCCTGTACTCAATCAGTTGCCAAGTTGACTCTGCCTCCTCCTTCTCAGCCCCAGGGGTCTCTTTACATCTCTACTGACAACTGAAATCTCCTCCTACCAAGCTCCCCCCACCACATCTCCATGAAGTCTCCCCAAAAGACCAAACAGATGTGATCATTTCCTTTGCCAAAGGCAAACACTCCACTGTTTGCACCTTTCTTACTCTGCTCTGTGGTGTAACTATTTGTGGACGTTTTTTCATGCCTATCACAGAAGGCTAGTTCTTTCCTCAAGGGTGGGGGTCTGTGTGCTTCTTCACAGTTCCTAGCAGAGTGCCCTGAGCAGAGAAGACACGCCGTACACACCTATGGGATGGAAAGTGTCTCTTCTCTGTGACCCCCTTGTTGGCGTGCCCCCTTTCCTCCACTTCCTCTGTGATGTGTGAGCATTCAGCCGAGGCTCTGCCTTGTTCTGTGCTCATTCTTTCGGTGTCAGCTACGGTGCCCTTGAGGAGAGATCATTTTTCCTCCAGTATCGCTAGTGCACAGCACAGAGGCGGATGCACAGCGGGCACTTACATGAAAACCTCTTTATGTATCTTTTTTTGTTTGTTTTTTTGCAGTGGTGCTATCTTGGCTCACTGCAACCTCTGCCTCCCGGGTTCAAGCGATTCTCATGCCCCAGCCTCCCAAATAGCTGGGATTATAGGCGCCTGCCACCGCGCCTGGCTCATTTTTGTATTTTTAGTAGAGACGAGGTTTTACCATGTTGGCCAGGCTGGTCTTGAACTCCCGACCTCAGGTGATCCACCCATTCAGCCTCCCAAAGTGCTGGGATTACAGGCGTGAGCCACCGCGCCCGGCCTATGTGTCCTTTTTGAGACACAAGGTAGATAATCATCCCCATTTTAGATGAGGGAAACCGAACCGTTGAGAGTTGAAGAGCATGTCACGTAACTAATTAGTGACTGAATGAAGACTGGAGGGAAGGCTAGCAACCAGGCCTTGTAGCTCCTGGTTCACTCATCTTTTTAAGGGACCAGGGGCTTACTCTGTAGCTGGAGGGCAAGAGGTTAGTTTCGAAGAACTGTTTGGAATGAGATACTTTCTGAAAGGGCAAAGGGCAGCTCAGAGTTGATCTGCTGGGTTCTTCCAGTATTCCACTTCCACCTGGAATGGGCGTGAACTCAGTCCACCCAAGTCTGACTGTCAGACGGAGGAGGCAGCCTTTTCCCTAACTCAGGCTTTCTCTGTTACAGAACCAGACAGGCCCAGCACAGCAGAACAGAGTGAAAGAAAACATCGCTCACCAGTAAGGGACAATCATTTCCTGCCCTCCCTCACTTAAGGCACAGCTCTTCAGAGTCCTAGTCTGTGGGTACTTGGGCATGGGGAATGAAAAAGAATCCAGTCTCCTCTCCCTTCTATTTCCTTTGTGTTGAGTTTTGGGGGGGGTCCTGGGGGAGGACCTGTTCTAAGAGATGGGGAGAAGGAAGCATTTGGGGAGCATGGGTTGTGTTTGGTGATGGGGCTTTCTGGAGCAGGGAGAAATTGCATTCTGTGGTCCAGCCAGATCTTTGCTTTCAGGGTCATCCATTATCCTGTCTCCTGTCCCTACCCACCCCATCACAGACAGATGGCTCTCTTGCTCCTGTGTAAAAAACAGTCAATATTTCCAGAAACAAGAATGCCAGAGGTCCTTATCCTTGACCTTGGTTATGTCTGGGCTGCAGGATCTTTTTTTTTTTTTTTCCTTTTTTGAGACGGAGTCTTGCTCTGCCGCCCAGGCTGGAGTGCAGTGGCACGATTTCGGCTCACTGCAACCTCTGCCTCCCAGGTTCAAGTGATTCTCCTGCCTCAGCCTCCTGAGTAGCTGGGATTATAGGCACGTGCCAAAACACCCAGCTAATTTTTTGTATTTTTGGTAGAGATTGGGTTTCACCATGTTGGCCAGGCTGGTCTCGAACTCCTGACCTCAAGTGATCTGCCTGCCTCAGCCTCGCAAAGTGCTGGGATTACAGGTGTGAGCCACTGCGCCCGGCCTGGAGGATCTTTTAAAAAATTTTATTTATTTGAGACAGGGTCTCTGTCACCCAGGCTGGAGTGCAGTGGCACAATCACGCCTCATGGCAGCCTTGACCTCTCCAGGCTCAGGTAATCCTCCCACCTCAGCCTGTTGAATAGCTGGGACCTCCGACACCTGCCACCACACCCAGCTAATTTTTGTATATTTAGTAGAGACGGAGTTTCGTCATGTTGGTTGGGCTGGCCTCAAACTCCTGACCTTAAGTGACCTGCTCACCTTGGCCTCCCGAAGTGCTGGGATTACAGGTGTGAGTCATTGTGCCTGGCTAGGGGCTGAAGGATCTTGAGGTATCCTTGGGATTTTAGGGAAGCCCAAAGTGCTTTAGGGCCATGGGGGTCCCTACCAGTGCCACCCATCTTCAGCCTCTCCCTGCTCCTCGCTTCTGACCCTTGCTAGTGGTATTGGCAGTTACACTGTTGTCCTGCTGAGCGCCCACCTCTGGAACTCTCTCATGTGGGTGCTGCTTCTGCCCAGGCCCCTCCTCTCCCCATTCTCTGGGACACGGTTAGGGAAAATGCCTCTCTTCCTTTCTCCTTCCCTGGGACACAGGATCCTAATGAGATTCAGGCTGAAAAAAAGCCAATTTATAGAACAGATGGGTGGTGAGTCAAGGGGAGGAAAGGTCATTCTTAATAGGAGCCAGGGTTCCTTCCATCCCCTCTCTGAGGCCGCCTGGACTGTGCCATCCGCCCAACTCAGGCGAACTTAATTAACTCAAGTGCTCGCTGGCAGTCTGAAGATGCACAGGCAAGAGGATTGTATTTCCAATCCGGGCAAGGGCTGGCTTCACTGAGAGAACACATTCCCCGGATCTGGCTGGAGACCTGGAGACTCACGGGAAAGTGGACGTGCCCCACCCTGCAAGCCCACGCCTCTTGCACATCTCACCTGGGTACTTGCCGCCGCGACTCCTCTTGATGAAACAGACGATGAGCAGGATCAGCACCAGGAGGGCGATGGCGCACATAAGCCCAATGAACCAGCCCTGGGTGGCGATGTCCGCTTGGTTGTTGGTGTAAGCTGGCGGGGAGGGCCGGAAGCAAACCCGTGAATGATTTCATGGGGGAGATGGTGAGGAGGGAGATGGAGGGAAGAACTTCAGCTATCTCATGTGGATGTTTCTCCTGGAGCCTAACACTACCACCTAGCAGCCCCCTGGCCCAAACTACCCTGCTAAAGGACAAAAAGAAAATAATTAAAGAGCCAAGGTCAAAAGATCAGAAAAGAGGCAAAGGAAAGGGGTACAAGGAGCAAATAAGCAGAAGGTTGAACAGGTCCTTTAGGAAGGGGAAAGTGTCATAGGGATGAAGCACGGCATTCTTGGAAACCAGAGGGCTGGTCACAGCCTAATGGGGACTGAGGGATGGCCACGGATTGGCCATGGAAGTATGATTCCCCATGGATGAGTCCAGGGTGGAGAAATGGGAGCCGGCAAGCTACCCATCAGGGAGTGCAGGCCGTGGCCACGTTGCAAAAACCTGCTATGAGAACACCTTCGCAGGCCTGCACAGGCACACGGCAGCATCCCTGCCCACCAGCATGGCTCTGAAGCCATCCAGGCTTCCTGAGGGTGGGGACTGGACCAAGTGGAGGCCCAGGATGCCCTGTCATCTTTTCACATCTCTCTAGTGGATCCTGCGCTTCCTGACAGCAAAGGCAATCCTGGTGTGGGTACCCCTAGCCAGGCCAGCAGCGATGTGGGGCTGGGGCTGTGCCTTCTGCTCACTCCATGCCACTTCCAGGCTACTCCACACAGGGTGACCCCCCCGGTGGTCTGTGACAAGCCGATGTTCCCCCTCCAACCCCTGTGACAGTGAGTCCCTCTCTGTCCATGCCCAGCGTATGTGCAGACCTGTTTCAAAGTGGGCAGATCCCTTTGTGATTTAAAAGGCCTGCAGGACGGCCTGAAGTACAGGTGCTAAGGAGTCACCTGAGGGTGTCCTTGATGACCCAATGGCTGGGTTTGGGTTTGGGAGGGGGGGTGTGGTCAGTACCAACTCACCCTTCTCCTTTCTACCGGCTGGAGAACAAAAGCGACCCCTCCTGAAATGCAGCCTGTCACAGAACGTGAGACTGTGACAGAAGGGAAGGATCAAAGGAACTGAATACACCCAGAGTAACCCTGGAACCAGCCAGCCCAGAGACACCTGGGGAGAGGCACACAACAGCAGGAGCCCCAAGAACCATGGAGCTGGCGCCAAGGCACTGAGCCTCCTTCCAGGAGCACGGGGAAAAGCATGAGGGCCACAGCACCTGCGCCCCCAGGTCTTCAGCACATGCCATTTGTGGGGCAGTTATCTGGGTGCAAGCCCACCCTTTGCTCCTCTTGGGGGCAGAAACTGTTTTTACAGCCTTCCCAGTGCCCAGTCAAGGGCATTGCACCAAGAAAGTTCCCAGTACGGGGTGAAGACTGATTTTACAGCCTTCCCAGTGCCCAGTCAAGGGCATTGCACCAAGAAAGTTGCCAGTACGGGGTGAAGACTGATGAACACGTGTCCTCTGCACTCTGGTTGCCCAGGGCGCCCCGGGCTGAAAAGCAGGTGAGGCCTGCGAGAACAAGGCTTGTGAGTACCATGATCTAGGTAGGCTGCAGAGAAAAGTCCCATCCCTGCTTCCACTCCTGCTCCCAGCAGGCCCCCGCCACAGTGTCAGAGTGATCTTTCCAACCCCCCACGTAGGACTGAATCACTTCCTTGCTTTAACCCTCCAAAGCTTCTTATTGTTATTGAAGAAAACTCTCCATTCCTTATCCTGACCTGTCGGGCTCCATCAGAGCAGGCCCTGGCCATCTCTCTAGTCCTACCTCCCACCACCCTGTCCTCATGCTTTATGCTCCAGCCATGCTGGCCGCTCTCATTCCTACTGCAGGGCCTTTGCATCTGCTGCTTTTTCTTCTAATGGCTGCCTTGGCAACTGGCACCTCCTAGAGAGGTCTTCCTGAACCTTCCCAGCTTAAACAAAGCCCCTCTCCCCAACTCCCACCCAGCTGCTATCTCTTATTTCATAGCATTTATAACCATTTAATATATATAGATCTATCATTATCTATTTAATCCTTCCTTCCTTCCTTCCCTCCCTCCCTTTCTTTTTTCTCTTCCCCCCAATCCTCTCCCCTTCTCCTCCCATCCCACTCCCCTCCCCTACTCTCCCTTCCCCTTCCCTCCTCTTCTCTTCTCTTTCTGAGACAGAGTCTCTCTCTATTGCCCAGGTTGGAGTGCAGTGGTGTTATCATAGCTCACTGCAACCTCAATCTCCTGGGCTTAAGTGATCCTCCTATCTCAGCCTCTCAAGTAGCTGGGACTACGAGTGCATGTCACCATGCCTAGCTAATTGTTTTTTTAATTTTAGTAAAGACAGGGTCTTGCTATGTTGTGGAGGCTGGTCTCAAAGTCCTAAGTGTTCCTGTGTCTTAAAAAAAAAAACCCTTGAGGAACTTGCCACACTTTTCAGCTCCAGCTCACATGCTGCCCTCTTAATTGGTACGCTCTATGCTCTTCCACCCCCTCCAGCTCCCGACAACTCTTCTGTACCCCCAGCAAGCTGACTTCAAGCCCCTCTATTCTTAGCGCTTCAGCTGTTACCACTGAGTGGGCCTCTCCCAAGCTGACCTCCACCTCCTTAACTCTCATCAGCACCAGTGACCCTTTATTCATCCCCATCATCCCTCCAGCCACCTCCACAACCGTAAGCCCAGAGCCTCCTCCTACAGCTCTCCTTGGATGCATGCGCTTGAAATTCAACCTGCATCTTCCTGCCCCCTGCCTTGATTCTCCCAGCTCTCCTGCTGCTGCCACAGGCCACACCACTGTGCCCATCTCTAAGAGCTGCCACTTCTTCCAAAACACTTCCCATATTCCTCTCACTGTTCCATTCTATTCCAGGGGTCCCCTCACCTGTGCCTGCCTGCCACTTCCTGTGGATACAATGAGACATCCCGTTACCACCTTCCTAGGAGGCTTCCAATGGTGCCACCTTTCATTACTCTCCACTGTGTGGGCTCAGCTTCTGAGCCTGGCCTTCTGGGAGCTCCAGTCTCCTTTCCGTGCATCCTGCCCCTCCTGCCCAAGAAAGCCCAGGCTGTCGCCCTCCTAGCTCACTGCCACCTTTGCACACTCTACCCCTCCTCCCTGAATCTCCCCTTGCTCCAACTCACACCATCTCCAAACTCCGATTTCACCCCCAGCTGCGCCATGCAGTGGAACATTTAATTGTTCTATTTCCTGGGTCCTGGTTTCCAATTATACTATTAAAGTCTTGAGAACGGGGGATCTCTTTTAGCCTCGTAGTACTTGGCACAATGCTGGTCACATAACAAGTAGTCAGTGACTACTTATTGATTAATGGGTGAATTTAATCTTACTATAATACAGTTAACCTGGCATACTGATTTAGGTTTTTCCCCTGATATCAGCTAGGGGTCATATGGATACTGGCTTGCCCGTGTGCTAGAACTGGGCACTGGGATGAAGGAATTACTTCAACATGTGTTTGGATAGTTCTACCCACCTTTTGCAAGGAGGTTGGTTTGTGCGTCTGCAACGACCTAGTCAATGGCCTAGTTGCACCACCATCTTCCTGGTGCTTGTTCTGATGCACCCTGACAGCTGTCTCCACAAGACTTCCTTCCTCTTGGGAAAGAAAGTCATCATTCCAGGGGAAAGGGGCCACATGGGCAATTAGGAAGCAAATGTGGCTTTTCATTCCTGACGTACCAGGTGAAGTTCAAATGTTACCTTCCGTCCTTACCGAAAAGGTGAAAGAATTTCCTGTGAAGTTTGGACACAGAAGGCTGTTCAAAACCAAGTGGGATCTGGGGTAAGGTGGGCTCAACCACATCCCATCAAAGTGATTTAGTTTCTCAAGGACCAAAAGAAATTTAGGACATAATGATCACACTTATAATGGGACTCCATGACCTGGACTCTGAGAGGAAGGCATTTTAGCAAGGCCCCAGAGCAATTATATTTGACTGTCAACACCATACTCAATCGGTCTGTTAAACTTGTTTCAAGATTCCTAACGGATCCAGTAATATCTGTGTGCAAAGACCAGGGTGCGTTTACACTTGCCACTCTCAGCTGTAACTGACGGGAGCCAGAACAGCATCCTCTCGTCCGGCCCCCACGCCTCTTACACTGGACTAGAAGACGTGTTTTGTGTGCCTTCCACACCTCTCCCGGCAACACCCACTCAGAAGCGGGCAATACACCTGCAAAGCAGACAGCTCTCATGACTCCTAATTCTAACTGGGAGGAATTGGGTTTGGCCAGGGAAGAAAGGCCAGTCACTCAAAGTCTGCAGAAGAATTATGTTCTAGAAATAGGGATAGATTAACAAATATAACGGGGATGGATTTTCCCCAAATACAGTTTGGCTTGGCTGTTCTCACTTAAGCACCATTTGACACCTCTCCACCCCTTGCCCCATCCTGGCCCACCAAAGAGATGCTTCTCCCAAACACAGCAGAAGCTGACTGCATTCAGGGCCCCTGAGGCCCTGCTCCCTGCTCTCCTGAGGTCCGAGGCAGGCTGCTATCTGACTGCTGGCCCACTCTAAGCTTCCACCATCCTCCTGCCTTACCCCATCCCGCCCCCAGCACAGAAGGGCTGATGGGCCTCTTGGAGTCCAGGGTTATGTGTTTGTAGCCCCTCAGGTCTCTTTGGCTTCAGACACTTCAAGGAGGTGATTAACTTCCCATTGGGATTTTTCTGGTGAGGGTCAGAGAGGCTGTCAGCCTTCCCAGTGGTTTCCTTCAATTTCCTTCCTGAACTGCTATAGCGCACTCAAGTCTGCAGACTAAAGTGACTGCCTGTGGTTGTCTAAGTGACCAGTGGTCAGGGCCCAGAGATGCTCACGAGTTCTTGCTTTAATGAAACACAGAGATCTGTGGATTGCATGGACTTGGCTCTGGAGTCCATCCACAGGAAAGAGAATGTGTATTTTTGAAGGATATCGACACACACCCACAGACTTCAGAAAGTGAAAATACTTCCTTTCCCTATGTGGTTTGCAGACAGTAATTTCCAGCCAGCCTGTGAGAGAAGTGGACAATATGTACTCAGAGCTGGGCTCATCAACCTGCCCACTCCAGCTCTCGCTGGGAGGAGTCTGGGAAGACTTGCCAGGGCTGAGTGCTTCATCACTGGAAAGCAAGCTATCAAGATGAGCCTTTCCACCAAGTGCAAGAAAAGAGAAATGAGTATTTAGGTTCAGAAGCATACCCAGTATCAATCATTATTCTGTCGTGTGCTTAATATCCCAAATCAGATTAGGACATCCCTGAGGGCAGGGCCTGAACCCTCACCCACAGCCCTAGGGCTTAGCACCTGGAGAAGTCAAACTCTGAAAGCAGGCTGCCCTGGTTTTGGCAGTCTTCCCTAGGATGGAACTCTATTTTCAAATATCATCTTTGCTTTTTGCTGCTGTGCTGGACTCAAATATGTAATGAAGCAAAATCAAATGCACATACCAGTGAGCAACAGCTTGGGACCTCATCTGAGCTAGACAGAGTCCAGCCACTTGCTCTGCTCAGTCCACTGTCCAGTTGCCTGGCCTTGCTCCCCTTGTTACAGGACAGGCTGGCCACTCAGACATCCTGCCTGAGTCGGCCTGGCTAGCCTCAATCAGGGAGCCCGACTCTCAGACCCTCTGAGCCTTGATGGCATGCAAATGTGCAGGACAGGCGGAGACACGGAGGAAGACAGGATGCTGGACCAGGAAGGACTAGGATAGAAGGGGTGGGGTGAGACGTTTACACAGATGGGCAGGGACTCCCAAGATGCAAGCTACCAGGATCAGCCTCGCCAGGCCAGGTGCAGGAGGAGTAATGAATATTTAAGTCAACATTCAGAAGTTCATGTAAATCACTGTGTGTTTTTTCCCCTCCGCTATGCTGTGTATCTAATGACCTGCATCTGATTAGGATATCCCCTGGGGGCAAGGTACTGATCCTTTTCTCTCTTAATCTCTTTCCCCACCCTTACCCTTAGCCCCAGGGCTTAGCATACCGGCCACTTGGCAGCCTGCTCGGCTGAGTTTAAAGCTACACTCACTCAGACCAGGGAGTGCCCTGTAAGTATCCAGACTGCCAGCTACCCCTACTAGCACAGAGATTGCTGAACCTTGTACCCTTTGCTGAGCCCCAGTTGGCCTGTTCATTTGGCACAAGGAAGATGTTTCTTCATCCACAGCTAAAGCCGCTATAGAGCCAGAACCTTTCCGGTTCTGGAGAGCTTCTTCCCCTCTCCCTGCATGACAAAAAATCACCTACTTTTAGGCCAAGACAAATTTGGGACAAAAACAAAGCCCCAAACAAGTTGTGTCACTCACTTTGAAATTTTTAACAATAGATGATGGTGGCAAGGGAGTAACAAATGCACTGATCTCCTGGAGCGATTTCTAGATCAAGGCCCTGCGCTGGCCCTATCCCCTGATCCTGCATGAAGGGAGCCAGCCCCTGTGCGCACAGGCCAGGCTGCACTACTCTCCTGCAGCCCCCAGACCCACAGACAGTGACCAAATGTGCACACACACCAGGCAGAGCAGGGGGCTAAGTGTTCTCTGTTGTCATTAAACATCCTTTGTTTCCTTCTGACCCGCACGGGGCCACAATCACTGTTTCCTCTCCACTACGCATGCACACTGGGCTCCTCTAGGCTTCCTGGGAGCCTTCAGCTGATACATAATAAGAGCTGAGACACGCCATGCAAGGTGGGAAATGGGGTGGGGGATGAGTCTTCTTTCCGAGGAGAGAGGCAAGCAGGAAGCTGAGGATGAGAATGAAATGCCCCATGCTTGCAGGGGATGGC